>NC_000013.11:78256590-78408106 GCF_000001405.40 Homo sapiens
CTTTTCTGGTTTCTCTAGGGAATAATCTTTTTACTGTTCATTCAGACTGTTGGCAGTTTGTTCCTTGAGCTTGTGGTATGAAGGTCCCTATTTTATTGCTGGTTGTAAACTGAAGGCTGTTGTCAGTTTCCAGAGGTCACTGCATTCTTTGGCTTCCTTCCATTTTCAAAGTCACAATGACAGGCCTAATGCTCACTACACACCTCTCTGACCCTCCTAATTGTCACATCTCTTTCTGATCCAGCCAGCAAAGGCTCTCCAAAAAAAGTGATGCCCGCAAGGATATAATCTCCACATCTCAAGGTCTGTAACCTTAATCACATCTGCAGAGTCCCTTTTGCTATGTAAGGCAACATATTTACAGGTTTGGGTATTAGGTCATAAGAATCTTTAGTAGCCATTATTCGACTTATATTCAAAAACATTTTTCCTGAGAAATTTAAAGGCACTATTATTTTTTTTCTCACACTTGAGAATTCTTGATAAAGTATTTTATGTCAATTATATTTTCATTTCTCTGTTGGTAATTTCTTATCCCTCTGAAAGATTTAGAAGGCTATCTTCATCCTTGTAATTCTGAGATTTGATGCATCTGGTTGTGGTCTTTCTTCAACTCCTCCTGTTTTGCAGCCAGAAGGCCCTAGCAATATGACTTCTCTGGTCTTTCTTTAGTTTAAGAAAAATTTCTTCCAGTATTTTTTTTTGAATGAATGATCCTCACCCTACTTTTCATCCCTACCATTAGGCCCATGCCTAAGGCATTTAGTACATGTTTGTGTGAGTGAGAGTTGATAAGACTGGACATATAGATTTGGCTGTCAAGAGCATAAGAAAATTGACAATGTGTATACATTAAGAAGATGCCAGAGAAGAAACCAAAAAGAATACTTTAATTTAAGGCTGAGGAGAGAAAAAGCAAAGGCCAGGTGTCTGTGGCATGGCAACCTGAAGGCGGAAAGTACTTCTAGTGAAATTCTATCCCCTAAACTTCTTCAATCTCCTCCCAAATCATAGAGATCTGTTTAATTTTTCAGAATTATAGAAGTTATTCTGGTCTGCTAAAAAGAGGTTTATTAATGCTGCATAATTTGAAACTGCACTGTAAACTATAAACTGCTGTTAATATGATTGCTATGATCTCAGAATGCTTTCATCCTTTCAGTAAGTACTTACTAACATTTCTTATGAGAATGCAATCAAGCCTCAATGATTCCGAGTCTTTTTTTCACCCTCATTACTCTTGCCTTGTTATTTCTGTTATATTATATCTGAAATATTTACAGTGCACTGTACCAGTACAATTTTTACTGTAGTCCCAGGAAAGGGGATATTTGACATGAAGATTCCAGCTCTAAAAACAGAGAAAAACATTTGAGATAGTGGCTTGCCTGTTTAAAAACATTGAAGGAAAAAAGATTGTAATTAAAAATATCCTTCTTTTAGATGTCATCTGAGCATGGATAATCATAGAAGCTCTATGTGGTTGAGCTATAATGAGCTTTTCAGTACTTTCCCCAAAGAACAATGTTAGGCAGTTCCTACCATCTCAACATCTGAATATTTTTGCAACACTGGCCCCAAATAAATGCTTTTATCCGGAGTCACTCTTCTTGTCCTGGTGATTACAATAGCAAGGTAGAGAAAAATAAATAGGGCCTGCTGTGCAAACTAACATTGTAATGAAGATCTAAATTTGCTCGTTATCCCTTGAAACAGCAGTTAGGAGGTACAGAGGGGACGGGATATTGCTGTTCTTTTGCGTACTCTGCAAGGAGAAGGAAGCAATTTGAATAAAATATCTGACAAATAAACTGTTGGGAATTTGTCAGAAGTGTATTCCTGGTCTCTGCAGGAAGTCTGTGAAGAGAGTTGAAGGCCCATAATGATGAGGAAGTCTTTGCCCTGTCTTCGATTTATTGAGCTGATAGGGGCTCTCTTCTGCAACTGGTTCTGTGTCTGTGCCTGCCCCATGAGGGACAGCCCTGCCCTCCATGGCCTAGGCAGCTGGTTCAAATCCAAAAGATTTCTTTGGTGGGGTTATTTAACAGGTGATGAATTTTTCTATCTGATTCACATTTGCTTTGCACTCAGATTTGGTGACCTATGTAATTTATGCCTGAACCAATGATTTATTTTTAAGTATACTGATGGTCTTTACCCACCAAAAAAGAACTGAAATATATAAGCCATCTTTTAGAAAGCTACCTTTAAAGAGAACCACAAAAATGGCTTATTACTTTCAAAGCCACATTTTAAAAAAGAAAATACCCGCTTCTCAAATGAGTCACTCTATAGTTTAAAATCTAGTGAAACATATATATAATATATAATCTATATTTTAAAATGCAAATATTTGATTAAAAATAACTATTTGAAGAATCATTTAAATGAATTTAAAATTACATTATGGTCTTAAAGTCATAAGCTTAAATGTCTACACAATTAAACAGTCCATAAGAAACTGAATCTGATCAAATTGGGGGGTTGAGGGTTTATAAAATACCATACAATAAAATAAATGTGCTTCTATCAATCTGAAAAACAAAGCGAATTGTGAGGTTGGAAATACCTTCAGAAAGAATAGTCAATTTGTTTCTTTGAGACTTAAAACTAAAGATTTCTTGCCAAAGCACATTTATAGTTTCTTAATATAACAAACCATGTCATAGTTTGATTTCCATATTCATAAAGATAGTGGAGATTTCCTTGGCAATAGAAGAATATATAAGGGAGATTCTCCGGTAATAGACTCCCTATCTTTTGTGATTTTTAAAATATGTGTTTGTTTGCTTGTTTGTTTTTTGCTATCAAGCTAGAAATCCTCTCTGGTTGCAGACCCATCACCAGGGAGAGCTCAAAGCTTCTGTTTTCATTTCTGTCCTGAAAGAGTCTAATCTGAAGATTTTTAGGAATGTCAATCCTAGGGGCATGGTGTTCTTTCATATTCTCTGAGATTCTATTGCTCTCTCTTGAGAGAAAGGACTGTATTTCTAGTGAACAATTCTTGAAGTCAAATGTATAGCCTTACATTTTCTACTACCCCAAACTTAGACTTCTCTCTAGATCTCTCCAACTCCAGTAGAATGGCTGACTATATTGTGTGAGTCTGTGTTGTAGCTTTCTGAGCTTGGACACTCAGGAACCTCTTGGAAATATATGACCTATTCTACATTGTCTTCTCCCAGTCTTAGTCCTTCCAGATCTTTTGAATTTTCCAGGGCTTAAGAACATTTTCTATTACAATAGCAAAAGAAGTTATTTTACCTCAACCTCTGTTTTCCTGAAACAATAGAACTGAAATATATGTTATCCTCTAATGTCTTCTTATTCCTTTCGAGTAGGCCCAGTTTATAAAACTTAAGCCTGCATTAGATTGTCCCACACTTCTACCTCCTCCAGGATTGTTTGCTGGATCAAGTCCCTAACTTTTTTTTTCTTTTTTCCATTATTCCAATTTTTATTACAAGACGAAAACATGCTTATTTAAGCTAATAACTCTTTGTTCTAAAGATTATCCTATGGTTTCTTTTCAAATCCTAAAAAAGTATACTGTTGACTGTGTATCTTCACTAACTCTGGTGAAAGCAGTCTAAATTAATATGTAAAATATAAAGCTACATCCTCTGCAATAAGTTGAGAAATTGGCATATTAAACCCAATAACAAGCAGAAGTAAAAAATAATAAAGACAACAGCAGAAATCAGTGAAATAGAAAACAAAAATAACAAGTTTAACTAACCACTAGAGAGGCTGACCAAGAGAAAGAGAGAGGAGACAGAATTTACAAATACCAGGAGTGAAAAGAATGGACATCATAACACCCTACAGATATTAAAGGTTAATTAGAAAATATTACAAACAACTTAATGCCCATAAATATGACAACTTAGATACCATGGATTAATTTCTCAAAACATATAAATTACCAAAGATCACTAAAGAATAAATAATCTGAATAGTCGTATATTTATGGAAGAAATTATATTGATAGTTTTAAACCTTCCAACAAATAAAACTCCAAGCCCAAATAAATAAACTCACTGATGAATTTTACTCAACATTTGAAGTGAAAACTAGCAGTTCCTCACAATCTCATCTAGATATTAGAAAAAGATGGGACATTTCTTACACATTTTCTAAGTACAATATTACTTTTTATGAAAATGAGATAAAAACATTACAAGAAAACTATAAACTAATATACCTCAGGAACTTAGACATTAAAATATTCTCAACAAAATACTAGCAAATCAAACTCAGTAACAGATAAAAAAGAAAAACATGTCAAGACCAAGTGGGTTTTATCCTAGGGATACGAGGCGGGTCTAACATGCAAAAATTAATAAGTGCCATTATTCTATCAAGAGCCTATAGAAGAAAAACTATATAGTCATCTGAATAGACACAGAAAATCATTTGACGTAAGTAAACATTAAAATCTCTCAGCAAGAAGTTATTGAAGGGAATTTCCTTAACTTGATAAGGAGCATCTACAAAACCTATTGGTAACACCATGCTTCAGGTTGGATGACTAAATACATTCCTCCTAAAATTAGGAGCAAACCAGAAATATCTGCTCTCACCATTTCAATTCATCATCATACTGGGAGTCCCAGCCAGTGCAATAAGACAAGATAAAATAATGAAAATGTGACATATCAAAACTGTGAATGCAGCAGAAGTGGTTTTTGAGTATGAATGTTTATCTTTCATCAAAATTCATATTTTGAAATCCTCACCACAGAGGTGATGGTGCTAGTAGGTAGGGCTTTGGGGAGATGATTAGATTATGGGAGTGGAGCCCTCATGAATGGGATGTGTACCCTTATAAAAAAGGCCTAAGAGAGATCCTTTGCCCCTTCTGCCATGTGAGGTTAAAGTGAAAAGATCACTGTCTATGAGGAAGAAGGCCCTCATGAGACAGCAAATTTTCTGGCACCTTGATCTTGGACTTTCCAGCATCAAGACCTGTAAGAAATAAGTTTCTGTTGTTTATAAGCCACCCAGTCTATGGTATTTTGTCATAGCAGCCAAAATGGGCTAAGACATATCTATAGTCTTAAATGTTTACATTAGAAAATAAAGGAATAGAAATTAATGAGCTAAGCTTCCAATTTCAAAAGCTAGGAAAAAAACTATAAAATACACTAAATACAAAATAAAAAATAAAGATAGAGCAAAATTATTAAAATATAAAGTAGATATAAAAAAGAGAAGATAAGAAGGACAAATATATTTTACAAATATAATTAATAATATTGACAAACCATTGACAAGTCTGAAAAGAACAAAAGAGAAATGGCACAAATGAACAACAGAGGAAATTAAGAAGGGGGTTACCACAGATGCTACAGAAATTTTAACAAATTAAGGATAGAGAAAAAAATTTTCCTAACATATTTGAAAACTTGGAAGAAATGGGCACATTTCTAGAAAAATTTTACTTACTAAAGCTCCCTTGAAGAGCAACATCATATTTAAATAATTCTATACCCATTGAAGTAATAAATTCATAGCTAACAGTTTTCCACATTAACAAAATAAAAAAATAAATATTATCAGACTTTCAGGAAACAATGTCAGTTTCATAGGGAATATTCCAAATAATAGGAAAAAGAGAAAATATTCCATAATTTACATAAAAGGCTAGCAACATCTTCATGCTAAAACCTGACAAGAACAGTATGAAGGGAAAAAAATCACATTTAATAATCACATTAATTATGTATTTAATATATTTAATAATATCAGTGTAAAAATCCTAAACAAAATATAAGCAACTTGAATCTAGGAACATATAAAAAGTCTGATAAATCATGAACAAGTTGTGTAAAGTTGATAAAAGTGAATTTTCCAAGACTGATCTCCACAGGCAGTTCCCCCTAAGGGGAAGAAACTGCCTCTAGTAAAACTGACCTTCTGAGTGGTTCCATGGAGACCTGTGTGGGCCCGGTGCTCAGACAGAACAGATAAGCCTCAAGACCTGCACCCCAACCACTCCATCACCATCATGCCAGGGATAAGTTCCTTCTCTAACCATGAAAACTGATGTGGTGACTTCTGCCTTCGGCTTTGCATGTGATAAAGCTACTATGCAAAGCTTAGACCAATTCTCAGACCACAAAAGGTGAAGACCTGGCATCCCCTTCAGCAAGCCATAAATGAATGCTTAGTTCAACTGATGGAGTAGGGCTGGGGCAAAGCCTCTGCCACAGCATATTACAGTTGCATACTGAGCCATAGTGACTCCAGACAGGGGCTATAGTCATGCAGCGGAGAAGCTCACAGACCAATGCTTAAGGTCTCTTGTCTGATCCTGTCTGATTGTAGTTCATGTGTATGCAGTGTGACAGGTATCACCTGCCTCAGTTCCCATCTCTTGGAGGCCAACATCAAGGATGATTGTCTAGTGAATGTCCTTAGATTTGATCCATTCTCAGGTAACATAATAATGAATGTTATGGAATGAACGCTTGTATCTCCCCAAAATGTGTAACCCCCAGTGTGATGATATTTAAACGTGGAGCCTTTGGGAGGTAATTGGGTTTACATGAAGTCATGAGGGTGTGTCACCTGTGATGGGCTCAGTGTCTTTCCAAGAGGAGGAAGAAACTGAAGGTTTCTTTCTCTTTGCAGTGTAGGAATTTAGCTCAAAGGTGACCATCTGAAAGCCAGGAAGAGGGCCCTCACCAGAACCCAACCATGCTAGCACCCTGTTTTCCAATTTCTAGCCTCCCAAACTGTGAGAAAATAAATTTCCGCTGTTGAAGTCACCCAGTCTATGTTATTTTGTATGGCAGCCCAAGCTGGCTAAGATAGTGAAGAAATACAAAGAAAGGAGAGTTGACTCACTCTCTAGTGATTGGAATGTGCTCCTTACCATTCTATTGAGCTCTCTTTCAGTGTAGTTAGACAGAGTAGATCCAGCAACAAATGATGACTGAACCCCTGATTGAACATCTGCTGAATTCTCCCTGATCCAGGTTTGATGATGTACACTGCCTTTGTAAGTAGGCATTTCAGTAAAGGTACTAATTCATCACAGAATGAAATCAAGAGGAATAGAGGATATTCCTATGTGCTTTTACTCCACTGAACATTTTAACAGCGTTGGGTTGGGGATGGGCATCTTTGACAGCTTGCTTCCAATTCAAAAGAACCTGAGTGCATTTTCGTACATCTTCAGAGCATTTTTCTGTTTTCTGAAGAGCTTTTCATTCATTGCTGTGATAGTCTTGTCACTCGTTAGTGTTCAGAGGGTTAGAGTTAGAGCTTCTTCAGTTTATATCTTTAAATTATATCAGCAGGTGATCGTGAGGCTCTTTGTTTTCACAGCTGACTTGGGTTATCATTTTAATCCTAGACACTCTAAGATTGAAAAACTTAGGGAGATACCACATGGTGAAAGTTATCTAAGTTCAGCAGCAAATCACATAAAAGACATGTTTTTTATCCCTATTATATATCAATAATATCCAGTCATGCATGACATAACAATGGTTTTGTTAATAACAGACCAGTGGTCCCATAAGATTATAACATGTTTTTGTTGTACCTTTTCTATGTTTAGATACAATACTTACTGTTGCATTACGATTTCCTACAGTGGTCAGTTCAGTAACATGTTGAACTGGTAGCCTCGGAATGATAGGCCATATAGCCTAGGTGTGTAGTACATTATACCATCTACGTTTGTGTAAGTACACTGTGTGATGTTAGCACAATGACAAAAATCACGAAAGGATACATTTCTCAGAACATATCCTCATCGTTAAGTGATGTATGACTGAAAATAATTTTCTAGCACAAATACCATGTCTAAACACCACCAAATATAGCAACACAAAAGGTGCATTCCTTTTGAATTTGATGCACCATCTCCTTTGGATAGACCTAGCTCTCTAGTCTGCCTTTATGTAAGAATCAAGTCTTTAAGTATTGTGGTCCTGTAAGTGCACAATATATTTAATCCACTTCCTATACTCTTCACATAGTCTTAAATGGAAATATAGTCCACAAGCAACTCAAGAAGTTGGCATCCAGGCTATTTACATCATCTAAGCAATTAATCATTGCATAGTAAGACCTAAAACAAAACTATTCAGTCCAAATAAACAGCTATTCAGCTTCCTGCAGAAGTGTGCAAAACTTGCACAGTAAAACATGTTTTATTTTACTGGCATGGTAAAGGCATCTTGTGGGTGCTGTGCTGAAGAAAAAATATACACAGTAAGTCATCACTGAATGCAAATGATACGTTCTTGGAAACAATAACTTTAAGTGAAATGACATATAATGAAACCATTTTTTTTCTCATCAGTGTTATAAGGTAACAACATTGATTGAAATGATGTTTTATTCGAGGACCTGCTGAACATCAATCACTTCATCACACCATACATAGACTGGAATAAAATAACATAAATAATTTAGTCTTTTCTTCTTGTTGCTTGAATTAAGAAAGGATGTAACATTAAAGTTAATATTTTAAAATTTTAATTAAAACATATCTAGGGTCCCGGCCCACGAGTCCACGTTTGCTGCATCACAGGCACTGACCATTGCCCTGGGCAAGCATTTTCGGAGCATCACAAAGCAAATCCTTTCTTCTTCTTTTATGGCAGGGGCTCTTGATGCCACTGTGTCACATATGTTTCCAATTAATCTCCTGCTAGGCTATCTGATTGAATTACACAATCACTGGAATGTTTTAAAGGCTTAACTAATTTGAAGCATAGCCATAGGTTAAACACTGTTGAACCATCACACTCAAAATATATGTTTAACATAAACAAATCATTTCACAGATACAAGCATGGCTAATGGGGTACCATAATAAGGGGAGGCAAATGCCTTTGTCTTATTTTGTCCTTTTACCCAAAACATTATAGTGCCTATTTTTAATACTAAAAATAAGGTACAAGGAGAATTTTCCATTTATTACAGTATAGACAAACAATCTGAATAATTCAAGCTGTGTTTACAGAGCACAAAGTGAGGTTCAGGTTTCATAAATATTCATGATTAGTGTGGGTAAGCAGTCCAGATAATTCAGAAACTACCCTATCCCCTGACAGTTCAATTTGCTAGTCTAGAGAGAACCAATTTACCAATAATTATGACATCTCTACTTTACCACTTAGTATAGAACCATGGAGGAGAAAATGCTTCCTTATTTTTAAGCTTAATTTAGATTGTTGTTTCAATTTGATTATATGGGGTTATGTGGATTCAGTCATAGAAGAAGATTGTGCAGTCTCCCCAAATTCTCGGCCTATATTTTAGGTATGGTGCTTCTCTTTCCTTCCATTCTCTTATTCTTGTTTTCTGCCCTTGGCATGAACAGTGTGCATGAAAGATGGCACTTAGGTCTTAGCTCCCTGTGATTTCATCCAATTAGGTGACTCTAGCACCTAGTAAAACTGTTTCTCAGAAAGTAGTGGCCCTCTGTACTTTGGGAAATGAATGGTGTCCTTTACAAGGACATTCCAGAAAAATAGGTCAACTTATAATGTGAAGCCTGGCTGAGAAGGAAATAACCAAATGACATCTAAGACTTAGGCAAAAAGTTAAAATACCTGTCCTTCTAATGATCTCTACTGCTTCTTCTTTTAATAAATGTCTTTAGTAGCTAGAGAACAGTTACACAAGAGAAAGGACCAACGAGAAATCATTGGTGAGAAATAATCAAGGGAAAGGAATTTTATAAAATGGTAATTAAAAATAAGAACTATGAATGTAGTTCTCAGATTCAAACCTTGTGTTATACTTTAAGCATATCAATGAACAGTGATCTCAGATAAAAATATTGATTTTCTAGAAGGCTTCAATCTTACAGTGCTTTTTTCCCAAAGCCTTGCAAGTTTCACAAGTATCTTTTGTGTTTTATTCAGTATCTACTGAGAGGCTGTTGCCACATAGCAGAGAGCTGGATGGTCTGATACTTTGGGGTGGGTCAGAGTTTTCAAAGAACTTCCCATCTAAGGAGGCAGCAAAGCTGACAGAAATGCAGGGACCACATCAGGCCTTCACCTGTCTGTTTCCACAATTGAGTGACAGAAATCTGCTATTTTCTTCCAGGAGCAAGTCTGGCTGAGCCTTTAATATCCATTTCCTTACCACAAGAAATTGTGTCTGGGCTTCATGTCTTAAGCAATGACTACAACAGAGCTCCTTAGCAGATCTGTGAGGATATCAGTTTTATTTTTACAAAATCCAGAATTTTTGTTGGAAGTTAGCAATGATAGAGGAGTGACTGTGGAACAGGGGGCTAGGTGGCAAAAGGAGGTGCAGGAAGGAAAAAGGTGAAGACCACTGGGAAAGTAAACTAGAGTGGTGCATCCTAGCCTTTGAATTACTTTGGCAACTATTTATTTATATGTCTGTTTCTATGAATGGAAAGTTCCTTGAGGACAGGGACTCTGTCTTATTTGTATTTGCAATCATTGCATCTAGTATAGAGATGTGGAATACTCCCACTCTTCTGCTTACCTTTCCTCTCATTATTGTTCTCTCTCTCCTCCCCAAGGGCAGAGGAGTTGCTCATGTATTTAGTCTGAGTTTACAGTATTGACTAGACCATATCGATCAGCAGGTAAGGTCACTGATCATACTCATCTATGGGATAGGAAGCTAAATGAACCAAGAACAGTCAGATCTAATAGGCTACGAGTGACTAGGAGTCAATGGCCTGGAGCCTGGTAGATAAATATTTTAAACAAGGCATCACGATTATGTTTGCTGGATATGGACCTCTGGTCAGGTACACAGAACCACTGACTAAATTATATTCTGACTGTATAGATTCTCTGTTATCATATGGAAGAATCAACTATGAAAATACATTTTTCTAATTCTTGGATTTTGTGCTAGTATACATATAGATTTCAGAAAAAAATGGTTTGCCAAGGTTTCAATTCATTAATTAATATGTGTATGAAGAGCCTATTACATTCATTCATTTACTCTTTTATCTGTGCTAAGCAGAATTGAATGATCTACATACTCTGCAATGCTCTGCCAACACGTCAAGCTATAATCTGTTACTAATTGTCAGATAGAACTGGCTTCATGGGTGTGCAATCTGTGCAGGCACACAATGCCCCACACTCAAAATGATCTACACTTGATACAATGCTCTGCTGTCAATATCCAGAACTTCTTATAATTTTTCACAAGGGAACTTGTATTTTCCGCTGGATCCCACAAATTATGTAACTGGTCCCACTCTCAGTGTCAGGATACAAAGATATCAGGTAAGATTGTTGGAATCCCAATGGACTGCAGTCCAAACGTTCTTTAAAAAGCCAGTGGGTAGGCCGGGCTCGGTAGCTTAATTCTGTAATCCCAGCACTTTGGGAGGCCAAAGCGGGCAGATCACGAGGTAAAGAGTTCGAGACCAGCCTGACCAACATGATGAAACGCCCCCTCTACTAAAAATACAAAATTTAGCCAGGCGTGGTGGTGTACACCTGTAATCCCAGCTACTCGGGAGGCTGAGGCAGGAGAATTGCTTGAACCTGGGAGGCGGAGGTTGCAGTGAGCCAAGATCTCACCATTGCACTCCACCCTGGGCGACAGAGCGAAACTCCGTATGAAAAAAAAAAAAAAAGACAACAGGTAATAAGGATCTAGACAAGTAGCCCATGGGCATGGGCCTATCTCAGATCTCAGAAGTCAGAAGAGAAGATACAGACACAAGAAAAATCCAAATCCTGAATATATAATATTGGAGTCTTTAAAAATTTAGGTAGTTAATTTGTTAATTAGCTAGATTTAATCATTCCACAGTGTATACATACTTGAAGACATCATGTTGTACCTGATAAATACATGAATTTTATCTGTTGACTTAAACAATAAAACAAAAAATAACTTTCATCCCTTAAACAATAAAAATCCAAAAGGAATGTGGATCCATGTTAATTAAGAAGGCATGGTCTCCGAAGCAGTTCCCTGCCTTCACTTTTATTTATTTTTAAATTTTATTATGTAAAATTTTAGATATTATAAATGTGTATAAATAATAATATAATTAACCTCCCTATATTTATCATACAGCTCCAACAGTTGTCAATATTTTGTTAATCATGTTTCATTCATTTCTCTATTTTTGCTAAAGTGTTTTAATTAAAACCCCTATATTCACCCATAAATACTTCAATGTGCAAGTCCAAAAGATATTCTTTTTTAAATACAGCCTCAATATTATTGTTATACCTAACAAAAGTTTAAAAAAATTAATGTTCAGTTTATGTTCAAATTTCTCAAAGATGCCTTTCTATAGTTACTTTGTTAAATTTGAATCCTAACAAGGTTTGCATTTGTTTGGTATTGTCACTTAACTTTCTTTTAAACTATTATAATTCCCCTTATCTCCATTTTTTTCATGCTATAAATTTGTAGAAATAGCTGGGTTATTTGCTTTGTGTAATTACCCACATTCAGAATTTGCCTAATTGCATCTTCACAAGGTTGCTGCTCTAGCCCCAGAATTTGTGTGATAATTGGTTTTAGATTTAGGGGATGGATTAGATTTGGTTTAATTTGGGGGCAAGAAAACTGCATAAATGGTGCTGCATATTTTCTTTTATTTCTCCAGCTTTATTTAGGTATAATTGAAAAATAAAAACTGTGTACATATAAGGTATATGTGTACATTGTAGAGATTTACCCCTGTGTTTTCTTCCAGTGATTTTACAGTTTCAGGTCTAATATTTAAGAGCTTAATCCATTTTGAGTTGATTTTTGCATATGTTGTGAGATAAAGATACAGTATCATTCTTCTGCATACGGATATCCAATTTTACCAACATTATTTATTTAAGAGATTGTCCTTTTTCTCATTTTGTGCTCTTGGCACCTTTGTCGAAAACCAAATGACTATAAATGGGTGGGTTTATTTCTGGAATTTCTGTCTTGTTCCATTGGTCAATGTGCCTGTTTTTATGCCAGCATCATGCTGTTTTAATAACTACATCTTTGTAATATATTTTGAAGTCAGGTAGTGTGATGCCTCTGGCTCTCTTTTTTTTGTTCAAGATTATTTGTCTATTCAGGTTCTTTTGTTGTTCCGTACACATTTTAGAATTGTTTTTCTATTTCCGTGAAAAATGCTACTGGAATTTTTATAGGAATTATACTGAATCTGCAGATAACTTTGGGTAATATGGATATTTAAACAATATTAATTCTTCTAAACAATTAATACAGAATATTTTTCCATTTATTTGTGTCTTCTTCCCTTTCTTTTATCAATGTCTTCTAGTTTTTGGTATACACATCCTTTACTTCCTTGGTTAAATTCACTCAAGTATTTTAATTTTTTTGATATTATTGTAAATGGGATTATTTTCTTTTTTTTTAAATAGTTAATTGTTGGTTTGTAGAAATGCTACTGATTTTTGTAGGTTGATTTTTTTACCCTGCAACTTTACTGAATTCTATTATCAGTTCTAATAGTAATTTTGGTGGAGTCTTTAAGATTTTCTGTGTATAAGATCATGTTGTCAGCAGAGACAATTTCACTTCTTCCTTTCTATTTGGTAGCCTTTTATGTCTTTTTCTTTCCTATTTGCTCTGGCTAGGACAACCAGTACTACGTTGAACAGTGGACCTCCTTGTCTTGTTTCAGATCTTAGAATAAAAGCTTTTAAATTTTTAATTTGAGTGTAATGTTAACCATGGCTCATCATATATGGGCTTTATGGTATTTATGTAAATTTCTTCTCTTGCTAATTTGCTAATTTGTTGACAGCTATTGTCACAAAAGGATATTGGATTTTGTTAAATTCTTCTTTTCCATGTGGGTTTTGTCCTTCATTTTGTTAATATGATGTATGACATTTATTTATTTGCATATGTTGAACCATCCTTGTATCCTAGGGATAAATCCCACCTGATTATGGTGAAAGATCCTTTGAATTCAGTTTGCTGGGGTTTTTTTTAAGGATTTTTATAGCTATGTTCATTAGGGAAATTGGTCTGTAGTCTTCTGGAGTTTTTGCCTGGCTTTGGCATCAGGCTAATGCTGGCCTCCTAAAATGAACTTAGAAGTGTTAATGCTTCTCCAAGTTTTTGGAAGAGTATGAGAAGGATTGGTTCTTTAAATATTTGATAGAATTCAGCTAAGATGCCATCAGGTGCTGGGCTTTTCTTTGATAGGGAACTTTATTATTGATTCAATCTCTTTCTTCATTTTTGGTGTGTTCAGGTTTTCTATTTCTTCATGATTCGGTCTTGATACGTCATATGTTTCTAGGAATTTATTAATTTATGTTATCCAATCTTTGGCATATACTTGTTCATAGTAGTTTTTAATGATTATTTGTATTTCTGTGGCACCAATTGTAGTATCTCCTCTTTCATTTCTGATTTTGTTTATTTGAGTATTCTTTCTGAAGGATAGCTTTGTTAAGTGTAGTATTCTTGGTTGCAAACATTTTCTTTCCTTTCAGCAGTTTGGTATATATCATCTCACTCTCTCCTAGCCTGTAAGATTTCTGCTGAGAAATTCACCGATAATGCTATAGTGGTTCCCTTGTATGGAGCGTGGGGCCTGGAGACTTGGGGACCAGCCTGGAATCTGGTGCTTCAGGGGCTGGCCAGACACAGGGGTGGGTCTAAAGCCTGGGTTTGTCAAGTCCAGTCTGCAGTCCAGGTACACTGGGGCTGGTCTGAAGCCCAAGTCTGCAGGAGTTGGCCTGGTGCTGGGGTTCACAGAGGATGGCCTGGTGTTGAGGTTCATGCAGTCAGGTGTTCATTTTACTTTCCTTTTAATATATTGAGGCTGTCTCTCCCCCAGTTGCACTGTGTGGACTTGGGAAAGCGGTGACATTCCTAAAGTGAAATTATCCTTTCTATCTTCTTCAATGCATCTTTTCTTATTTCTGTGCTATACTCAGGTGATGAAATCTTAGACCCTACCAGAGGGTCTCAAATTGGCTTCAGTGGTTTAGCAGTGAAGTAACTCACATAACTTCAACTCACAATGCATTGTGCTATTATATGGCTGAACCTAACTGCAAACGAGTGAGAATGTTTGACCCACCTATAAGCTCAGAAGAGGAGAATTGGATATGTATGAGCACTAGAAGTCTCCATCATAAAAAGATAATTTAAGCTGAGCTTTGAAGCATATTAGACAACACTGGGGAACCATTAGAGAAGGATTTGGAAACAATTGAAGGTATGCAGAGTCATCTCTGTAAAAACACTAAGGTTGGAGTGGGATAAACATAAGCAAGAGAGTTTGTTTCTAACTAGCTGTGTCATTTTGGGTCAATCACTTCACCTCTTTGAACCATATTTTCTCTTTGAAAACTAACTTTTAAAAACAAATGTTATTCAAATATTTCTTGAGCAGCTAACCACTTGTTTAAAGCAAATGAAATCTTGTGTATGACCCCAATTCACAGAGCAAATATATGTATGGCTGCTCTGGGTGAAGTATGGAGGACTGAGAACTCAGACTCCCCTTTTCCCCACAATACCTATCAGTGGCTCTTGAGGCAGCACCACTAAAAAAATTAATTTCTCGTACATTGTAACTTATATTTCTTGATTTATTGACTTCTAATGCTTAATGGTCATGGCAAGGGTGTCTGAGAGACATATTTTAAGACTTCATGTCAAGAACTCAAATCACTATTAGCTAGATATGGGAGTAGAACACAGAAAATTCAGCCTATAACTATAAAAACAATTTGAATACTGCCTTCTGAGACTCTTTGGAATCATGGTTATTTGCATGATGATTATCCAATATCCTATATATTCATATGTGGTTATCTGTGCACACATGCATAAATAGTTAACATGGTGGTGAGAATGCTGCTGCCACTGTTGTTTTTGCTCTTAAACATTTTGGAACCTTATCCAAAAGGGAAGGTGAATTTTTATAAAGCACATTTTCAAACTGCAGAGGGAAATGTTTTCAGCTGCTCAGAGGAAGATATTTGTGCCAATATGAAAATTAATCAAATGAAGCCAATTTATTTTATTTATACCTTTTTTACTTCCACAAGACAAAAGGTGATGGTGAAATGCCAATTTCCCAAGGCTTTGTCTACACTGAAGAAAAGAGTATGAAGCACTGAAGTAATCTGATAATAAGAAAGGGTGGTAGGGAAGCCCTGTGAGATTCTACATCTCATGTAGAAGATTTCCTCTGAGCTAAGACTATCCAAGAGCATTGGGTCAGTTTTCCTGGGCTATTTTGAAATCAATTTAAGAATAGAATTTTGTTTATACAACTAATGTACTACTTACTCCATTCTCAGGAGTTATTCCTTATGTACCTAATGAATAAAAGAGTTGTGGAGAATTTTTTTTAAAAATCTTGTTTTCATCTGTTGTTTTCTGCAGATTCTTTAAGGACAAAACAAAACATAATGACTAAATGATGTTGTCCTACATCAACAAGGGTTTCCTAATAAATAAACATTCAATATATAATAATTAATGTTTTATTATTTTGTGACACATTTTGAATACAGTAAATGGCATTTCAGTAGAAATTCAGATTATTGGTGTGAGAATTGATAAGCAATAAGTATTTATTTATAGACCAATTTTTGGTATAGGCTATTATCGTTATTATTATTATTATCCATACTCATCCTTGTTGTTGAAGAAAGCTCTTACAATATAATTAAGCAGCTCTGGGAGCCAGAACTATTTCTTGAAAATTCCTTGATGTTATCAGATTAAGGTGCATGACAAAAATGCTGGTAGATGTTATCCTTAGTCATTTTGAACATTTCCTATTGTCCCATCCTCTTTCTGAACTACCAGAGTATTTTCTCTGTATAAGACAAAATCAGGTACAGTAAAAGAAAAAATTCTGGCAATAGGAAGAAAGAGCTAATGTTCTTTCTTCTCTTTCCCTATTTCTAAGAACAAACGACAGCTTGGAGTATGTAACAAACTGATACATATGAACTGCAAATTTCCCTTTGACCACAGAATGAGGCAAGGATTAAACATTTGCCTAGCTCATTAACTATGGAGTAAAAAGGTTTGAATGGGAATATAAAAAAACGCATTTGCAAAACTTCACCGCCTATCAGGAGGCCAGCTTCAGAATAGCTATTTCTTCCAAAGTAAACATTTCCTTTTTAATTTCTTTGAATTGCTCTTAGTTTTTCTTAAATTTCACCTCTTGATTCAAGGTTTTGCATTTTTAGTAGTCCTCTCCATCTATCTGCACAAAAGTTAAAGAATTTCTAAGATTATAGAATTTTTTTCTAAATTATACTTCATTAGCATTAGAAGATGTTCTTACAAATTTATCTTTCAATCATATACCAGATTTTATTTCACAGTACTTTAGATTTCATTTCTCTTTGCTGTAAAGTCCCTAGTCTTGTTCGATAAAATAACCATGGGGATTTTATTCATTTTAAAGACAATTGTATAGGGCTACGTTATCACATTTAAGTAAATGAGATTTACATTTTTACATTATTTCAAATGAAAAGAAGCGAATGTCTTTAAATTATTAAATCTTTTGTCAAAAATGCTTTAAAATTCTGTTTTATTTATCAGAGATTTTTAATTAAAGCTATTTCTTAGAAAATGAATTCCTTATGAAGAAAACATTGAATTCTCCTTTTATCTATACATTAAACAGCTTATGCATTTTTTATTCCTTTAATTTTAGATGCCAATATTTTACCTCTTGGGTACTTTCTGTGTAGAAGATTCATAACAAGAACAATACTTATTCTGCAATTCTTTATATAAAGGTGAGTAACTACTCAAAAATGATTACAGGCTAACAATCAAAGTCTAATACAAGTTGTTGTGCTACAAACTGGATAATCACATATTTTGGCAGGCCATGCATGGCCAAGTATTTTTGTAATCTTGATGAAGCAATAAGAACACTAAAGCATGTAACTGTGGCATAGCAAAAATTGATGCATATAACAAAGTTAGACCTTTGAATATTGACAAGCCCATTTTCTAGCTTGATGGAGAGAAATAAGCTCCTGCATCCACATGGTTGATCATCTAACTTCTGGAAAGGATCAAGAGGTTTGTTTTCTCATTGATTTCTATCATTTGTATAGTTTTTATGTTGCTGATTTGGTAGAAAATCAAATAGAAAGCACCTTAAGCCAAGTTGTTTTTGCCAATCTTTGAACACAGGTCAGAATTTATAGTGTAGCCTAGCTCACTTATATAGTGAAGTGTCATAGTAAACAACAATTAATAATTCCTTTCTTCTCAGAAATGTAGGGAAATGGAACAAGATTACAACCACATGGTGTAAATTGGCTTGTTGATGTGCACTTGCATGGGTATGGCTGGGATATCAGAGCCTATGACAGTTGTTTTATAGTGTCACCTTAAAGCCTAATACATATTGATTCACAGATAGTAATTTTAAGTTTCTTTTCACAGTTGAGAATATGACCTTGCATATTAAAACCCTTAAATCACCTTACCTTTCCTTAGATAACCTGCCCCTTCTCCACAAAACCAAAGATTCTTATCTCCTAATTCCTAGGTAACAGGAATTCTCTTCCATTGGAAATAAATACTGGTACTTATGAACAGTAAAGATTTGCATTTGTTTGGGCACCTATTTTAATAAGCTATTTTATGAGAAGAAGAGATGAATAATATTATAACTATTTTATAAGAAGAAGAGATGAATAATCTTTGGATGTGTGCTTACAATGTACCGGTTATTAATCTATACATATTTCTATAAACAATCTCCATTTTAATTCTCAAAATACCCTTCAAAGTAAACATTCCAATACCCAATCTCTAGGTGAGTAAACTGAGGCTTAGATAATCATAACACTAGTCAACAGTTATTGCGTACTTGCTATGCAATGGGCACTGTGCTAAGTGCTTTACATTTACGTCAATGCTAAGTGTACAATGAATCATTACAACTCTAGGAAGGAGGTGTCATTATTTTACCCATTTTAAAGATGCAAACACTGTGGCTTAAAAAGGTTAAGGAACTTTCCCAAGTTAAGATGTGGTGTGATGTGTTGCTGCAACAGCTTCATTCTAAAATAAATATTCCAAGAGGCCTAGAGTCTTCAGGGGAAGAAAAATTGTTCTCAAGTTAGAAGTTTTCCATTATTAATAAAGTAATAAGACCAGGAAGGATTTGAAATCTTTTACTACTGCCACTGAAGAGGCTGGGGAAGTAAAGTATAGGAAGGCTTCCTCTTACCAGGCACTAGGATCAATGCTTTACATGTTGTTTTAGCCACTGTTCCACTTTTGAGAAAGACAGCATGATCTCATTCTACAAAGGAAGAAGCTAGGTGTCAGAAGGTTTAAGAAAGTGGCCCAGGGTTTTACAGTTAAAAAACGTCAGCCTGGACTAAGAGGCAAAGCACATCTGCAGTTGTGGTGAGATGGCGTGAATTGGGATAAGTACAGATCATGAGGATTGAAAGAACTGCCCAGAGTTTAGGGCGTTCTGAGTCTCAAACACTGTCATGGCCTTACCATACTGTCAGACTTCCTTAAGTAGCTGTACATTCCTCTCTTGAAAACTCCAGCTGGGAACTGTTTTAGGTGGGGCAGCCCTGCTAATAACAAAATTCTTCATCCACTCAAAGCAACCAGCATGGTGCATGTGGCCCAGTTCTGCTTCTCAGTCTCAGAATCACAGAATCTGCTGATTATTCACCTCACCTTACATCTCAGAAACTTGCCAGAGCCAAGCTGAGCTACCTTTATGTGTGATTCTGTCTTGGATCGTGCCTTACCCAGTACTCCTGACTTCTTGCACTGGATGTTACACAGTGATCCAGCTTCCTCTGACCTTCAGAAAATCCATATACAAGATATACAAACTCTCTGAATCTTCTTTTTCTGCTTAGAGGTTAAAATTATATTGCTTACCCAGGCACGGTGGCTCGCACCTGTAATCCCAGCACTTTGGGAGGCTGAGGGAGGCAGATCACCTGAGGTCAGGAGTTCGAGACCAGCCTGTCCAACATGGTGAAACCTCATCTCTACTAAAAATACAAAAAAAAAAAAAAATAGCCTGGTGTGGTGTCAGGTACCTGTAATTCCAGCTACTTGGGAGGCTGAGGCAGGAGAATCACTTGAACCCAGGAGGTGGAAGTTGCAGTAAACCGAGATAGTGCCGCTGCACTCCAGTCTAGGTGTTAAGAGTGAAATTCCATCTCAAAAAAGAAAGAAAAATGGTATTGCCTACATCACTGCATAGAGATAAATTCTATACCTATGTGAAAGTACTTTGAAAAGAGTTCAAGTGCTAAATACACCTCACTCACTATCACCAATATTCCACATCACATGGCAATACTGCTAGAAACAGGAGCAATGACAGGTATGGAATGTACCAGTTAAGTGAGGGAAAAACAGAACTAATGTTTATTGAATGGCTCAGTACTGGGGGCTTCCCATGCTCTAGGGATGTAGAGACAATCCCAATCTTCAATAAAAGTTAAGTTAATACATCATTGCAATTCAGAAAATAAGCTCTAATAGATACACACAATGGAACTAGTAACAGTTATGTACTCCCCCCGACTCCTCCCATCCCTGTAGTACCATGGCCTAGCTAGTAGTAGCCATATTCATACAGTAAAATCCCCCTATTTTTAATTGGTCCAAAGGTGGGGGCCTATTCTAAGCTGAATCAATTAGAGTTGCTCCTTTGGAACTTGGTTTCTCATTTTTTGCAGGTTGATTCATTGCAAGATCATATTTACAACACTTACTAGCTTGTCACTGCACTTGTCAGAGATCCCAACCTCTGCTCCAAGACCCCTTCCCATTGTTTGTGGCAGCACCTGGAGAAGGCTTCCATGTGATCAGGGACAGTTGTGCTCTTTTAACTGTACATAGGCTTTCTTGTAGCAGTTGTCTCCTGGAAGGTCATCCCAGGGAGGCCCTTTTCTTCTCCCGCTGCTGTCCTTGCCTCTGGAGTATGCTCCTATCAGGGTACAATGCCCGAGGGCCCCCAAGGCTGTAAATCCTCCCACATTGTACAACATACAGCATACCCTCAAGGCCTCACTGAACTCGAGAAAGCCTGAGTTCTGCTTAGATGGATAACAAATCTCCTTTTTAAAATAGAGGTTGGATATAATTTTGAAGTGTGGGGAGTTTTTTGAATACCAATTGACATGTAAAAAGGCATCCACAAATTTAGTGGCTTGAAATAACAACTATTTATCATTTCTTAATATTCTGTGGGTCAGAAATTAAGGCATGGCAAATGCCTTAATGGACAGTTCTTTTGCTCCATATGATGTTGGCTGGGATCACTTATGTGAGTTCATTCAGCTGGATGCACAGCTGGAACTGGAATATCCAAGGTGGGTCACTCATTCTCCAGGGCTTCTTTCAATGTGACCTCCACTTATTCACTCTTCTAGAATGGGCTTCCTCACAACATGGTGGCTAGTGTCCAAGATGGAGTTTTCCAAGAGGGAGACTGCAGAAGCTGATATACTTCTTAAAGACTAGGCTTAGGAGGCCCAGAATGCCATTTTCACCATGTTCTTTTGATCAAAGCAGATCACAAGGCCAGCTAATTTCAAAGGATAGGGAAAAAGACTGCACTTCTTAATGTGAGGAGTATCTGGTATGTGCATCTAGGAAGGGAAGAATGGTTGATGGCCATATTTGGATGCTACTACTGTAATGAACAGACGTCATGTTTACCTCTCCATCACTCTTTTCCTCCTCTCACTGCCCATGGAGGTACTAAACAAACCTTTCTATCTGCAAGTTCTCTTTTCCATGCATGTCAATACGTGCAAGAGACAATCAGTGTATGTGTGTCTGATATAGATCTAATCAATGTAGTGATGTTAAAAACTCCCGTATTCAGCACACATGGCTAAAAATTTGATCTAAGTTTTGTTGTGGCAGGTACTGCCAACTAAGTATTTACATTCGTTATTCCATTAAAGTTTCTTAGATAAAATGAGAGACATATTATTGTCACCATTTTATACATAAGGACACCGACTCAGCAAGGTAAATAATGTTTCCAAAGTCACACTGCTGATAAATAAGTGAGCTGCAACCTGACCCCTTGTCTATCTAGTGAGCCCATGCTAATGACATTACACCTCACTATCTCTCTTCAGTCTCATCGGTATAATTAAGAAAATGGTTCTTCATTCATGAAATACATGCAGATTTTTTAGAATAGAAAACATTTTCCTTTAATGTTATTTTTAAGATAGCTCCTTTTGAATGAGTTTTGGCCATTGTGAATCTATGGCTTTACCTCTGAAACAGAAAAACATTAAAGAATAATATAAAACTTTTATTTTAGTCAAATTAATCCCCTATAGTCATTTCTATACCATGGAGTATTGAATTAATAAAATATTGATTTTTCAGAATATATCACTGTATAGACAGACTTTAGCTAAGCAGTATAAACAAAATTTCATGGTTTAACACCAACATTTATTGAGGACCTACAATATTCTTAGCATGCTGATAGGTATCAAGGGATATGAAATACATACAGGTTTTTGCCCTATAGAAGCTTTTAATCTAGTTTAAGAAAAGTTATGATCATATAAAATTAAATGAGATGGAGATTAAAAAATACTCGAGTTTACAGAAAGTCTAGATCTCTGAGTTCTGGGAGGGTCAAGAAAAGAGAGGACTGGTAGACTGGGACTTTTAGAATAGAAAGGGTCAAGAAGTGCAAATAAAGTGGTCAAGAGAAGATAGAATCCAAAACATAGCCAGAAGCTCATAGAGTAGTTTGAATAAATACTTTCAATGAAAAAAAGCAGTATGGTGGGATGTAGGGGGAGGATGTTGTTTAAATTAGCCAGTGTAGTTGGATAGTTCTCAGAACTTCAGGGACTGCTATTAACACAGCAGAGTTTTAATACAACAAATGCAAGTAGGTGCTAAAAATTACCCCCCAGTTTAAATGTCTGGACAATCTATAGGCATTATCTATTTATCTGGACCCTCCAAATGATAACAAAGACTTGCCATCAGCTCTTTTTCTAGATTAAACAGTGGCAGACAGGTTTGTACCTTTAGGAAGAAAACATGGGAATCGGGCATGGGGTTTGGGGAAGAACATTCCATTTTACACACTAACGTCACTCCTTACCTTAACCATTTCTGGCTCCCAGTTAGGAGAGCTTTCTGACAATGAACTGGACACCATCTTGAGGAGTTTATACATGGAACTCTTAGGATTTAAATTTCTGAATTGGGTGGTAGTGGTGATACATACTTTTCATATTCATATTCAGTAAATAATATGATACTACTTTTGCAAGCAATAGCATGAAGGTAATGATGTAATTTAGTAAGAACCAGCAAGAAATCAAAACCGTAGAAATTAGTTTCCTCATCTGTAAAATGAAATGGTTGGAAAAGGTGATCGTCAAGGTCTCTTCCTACTTTATTAAGATGCTGTGATTCTAAGATGCTATTCTGTATATAAACAAGATTATTAATTTGAACTCACAGGACTTATTTTAAAACATGTATCGTAATATGGGCATATTTCAAATTTTGGCAGATTCCTGTAGTTTGTGTTATCTGATTTCACATTGTACTATTATTGTTATAGCTGAACACTAGAATAATTTCAGTTTACCAAATGCTCTGGACTCTCATGATTTAATATGGCATATAAACATAAGATGACTGTGATTACTTTGAATGAATGAACAAATCAGCACTCATATTCTTAATCAGAATATAGACTTCACAAAATTATTCTGACATCTTACTCCACCCTGATGCTGTAGACATTCCGAATTAATAACTGCAATAAACATGTTCAATCCGTTATATGGGTCAGTTACAAATGTAATGAATGTATTGTAAAACACATTTTAATGTGAAGACCTCAGTTCTCATGTGATCTGTATTCTCTTCCTCCTATTTCCTGAAGTGAAGATTTTAAATCTACTACCTAATACATATAATCATAAAATGTAGAAATGAATTAAATAAATTGACCTCCATCTAATTTTGTGTATCTCCATGGCAGTTCCATTTTTTAAATTTCATTTTTTCATGACAATAAGTAAAACACATTCAGAAACTAATAAATATGATAAAATAATTTCTGAACTTTTATAGAAGAAAACTAAACATTGCTGACCAAATACTTAATGCCTTTTGCAATCTACTCCCAAGATGTGCTTTAAACTTCTATTTATATAACTCCTCCATATTCCATATGTATGTTTCTTGTGTATCACTTGGAATTACACGCCTTCATGATGTTTGTTCCCGCCTCTCTAAATTAATTCTGTCTTTTTGTCTCCATTTTTCTTTACTTATGCTTCTACGATCGTACCTACTATTGTTTGGCACATTAGACTTAATTCTGTGACCTGCGTTTGATCCAGCCATGTGGACTATCACAATCAATATTTTCCAGACTCTGCTCCAGACAATGAGTATAGCATCTCCATCATCCCTCGAACTACCACTATTTTGGGGAGCTCCTAAGAGATGTCTCATGTGAGATTATGGATATAATTTTTTTTTCAGTTTTTTCACTATACTTTTTTATTTTTATGACATGCTATAAATCGCTTCCAGTGTAATTCTATCTAGAATTTAAAAGGTTATTTAATTATTTCCATGTTTAAAATTTAAATTTTTGACTACCTGTAGACTACAACCACATTCCTTAGTATGGTATTCCATGACCTGGCCTCTTTTTAATTTTCTAATTTTACCTCTGAACATTCTGCACCTTGAAATTTATGCTCTAGAAATATCTACTATCAGCTTGTTCTCTCACATAGCATATGCTTCTATCATATGTGTCATTATTTATGTTGCTTCAAGCGCATAAATACATAAATAATGACACATTACATAATGTATTATGTGTCATTATTTATGTGCTTGAAATGTCTTTCCTACTCTTCTTTAACTGGTTCATCTCCTCCTCATCCATTGGAATTCAGCATACAGATAATGTCTTACAAAACATCTTGTCTTAAACCCCTAAATGATCTCTAGGCCTTGCCCATGTACTACAAACTTAAAACAACAATAATAATAGCAGTAGTGAGCACTTGTTAAACATTTAGTTCTAGGTATGGTTCTACATTCTATACTTGGGTTATTTCTTCTAATTCTGTCAACAGCCACATCCGGTAGATACAACTATTATTCTCATTTTACAAAGGAGACAGAGAGAGCTCACATTACTTTTCTAAGTCTCATAGCTAATAAGTGGAAGAACCCATTGCAGCCTGCTTTCATTTTACAATGGCACTAATCACTTTGTAATGAAGTGGTCAGTATATGAGTTTGTCCTCTGTGCCACACTCTTCTTCTTCGACTGGATTCTAACCAGCACACTGGTTAGAAATATAATATTAGAATTTAGAAAAAAAGCTCCAGGCAGTGGACTTAAACTCAAGAATTGTATATTGCAGTTGATGATTAAAGCTAAGTGTCTGTTGACATCACTAAATATAATTTTTAGAGTAAACAGATAAAAGAATTGCAGATGGCATCTTGGAGAAAAACAAATTTAAGGGGCAGTCAGAAGAACAGAAACCAATCAGAGAAAAGAAGAAAGAATTTACACAGAGGTAAGAATGAGGAGAAATGTCACAAGTCCCAGGGAGGACAATTAAAATAAAACAAAAATAATCAGCACAGTAAAAAGTTGCAGAAGTATCAGCAATATGAGAACTAAATAAAATGATTGGATGGAAGAAAGAGACTACAATGAGTGGTGGGATAAATGGAACCAAAGAGTGGAAGCAGAAAATGCAGCATGCATGTTCATGAATTTTGGCAGAGAATGAAATTTGAGAAGTGAGTAGGAGGAAGAGTTAGGGTTGAAGGAAGGAGTGGGTAGTTAAGTATGTTTGTCAGTGGACTGGGATGAGAAAGTCAAGGAAAGATTAGAGAGGTAAAAGAGAGAAGGGATATTAATGGATCAAAGACCTAAGAAAAGCACGGTTGAAGAACCATCCCCCTTACAAAAAGAATTAAGAAACTGTGAGTTCATTTATTTCATTTAACAGCCCTCCCATGGGCCAGGAACTGGGGATACAGCCGTGGTCAAAAGAAACAAAATCCCTTGTCTTTGTAAATCGTACATTCTGTTGTAGATTCTAGTAGGAAGAAAACACTGAAACATACAAAGTAAAACATATGAAAACATGCAAAATAAAATAACATACAAAATAAATAATGTATTATATGATTATTTCTCATGCTATAAGGAAAAGTAAAGAAGTCAAGGAGGGAGAAAATATAGGGGTGAGAACTATAATTTTTAAAAGAGTGGTAGAGTAGCCTCCATAAGAAAGTGTCATTTAAGAAAAGTCTAGGAAGATGGTTGTATGGCTTCCTAGAGCACACCAGACAGTGCAAATACCAAGTTCAAAGGTCCTGTCGTCAGTGTGCCTTGGGGGACTTACCTGCCTCATTCTATGTCTCTTGGACCTGAGAAGCCTTTTTTTTTTTTTTTTAATCAATTGAGATAGAATTCCAAAGTTTATTGTTACGTAACAATACATACAAATGATATACATAATACTATACCATTTGTGTAAAAAATGTAAACTGCAAAGTACTACTGTATATCTTTTTTTAATTTTATTTTATTATTATTATACTTTAAGTTTTAGGGTACATGTGCACAATGTGCAGGTTAGTTACATATGTATACATGTGCCGTGCTGGTGAGCTGCACCCATTAACTCGTCATTTAGCATAAGGTATATCTCCTAATGCTATCCCTCCCCCCTCCCCCCTCCACAACAGTCCTCAGAGTGTGGTGTTCCCCTTCCTGTGTCCATGTGTTCTCATTGTTCAATTCCCACCTATGAGTGAGAACATGTGGTGTTTGGTTTTTTGTCCTTGTGATAGTTTACTGAGAATGATGATTTCCAATTTCATCCATGTCCCTACAAAGGACATGAACTCATCATTTGTTATGGCTGCATAGTATTCCATGGTGTATATGTGCCACATTTTCTTAATCCAGTCTATCATTGTTGAACATTTGGGTTGGTTCCAAGTCTTTGGTATTGTGAATAGTGCCACAATAAACATACGTGTGCATGTGTCTTTATAGCAGCATGATTTATAGTCCTTTGGGTATATACCCAGTAATGGGATGGCTGGGTCAAATGGTATTTCTAGTTCTAGATCCCTGAGGAATCGCCACACTGAATTCCACAATGGTTGAACTAGTTTACACTCCCAACAACAGTGTAAAGTGTTCCTATTTCTCCACATCCTCTCCAGCACCTGTTGTTTCCTGACTTTTTAATGATTGCCATTCTAACTGGTGTGAGATGGTATCTCATTGTGGTTTTGATTTGCATTTCTCTGATGGCCAGTGATGGTGAGCATTTTTTCATGTGTTTTTTGGCTGCATAAATGTCTTCTTTTGAGAAGTGTCTGTTCATGTCCGTTGCCCACTTTTTGATGGGATTGTTTGTTTTTTTCTTGTAAATTTGTTTGAATTCATTGTAGATTCTGGATATTAGCCCTTTGTCAGATAAGTAGGTTGTGAAAATTTTCTCCCATTTTGTGGGTTTCCTGTTCACTCTGATGGTAGTTTCTTTTGCTGTGCAGAAGCTGTTTAGTTTAATTAGATCCCATTTGTCAATTTTGGCTTTTGTTGCCATTGCTTTTGGTGTTTTAGACATGAAGTCCTTGCCCATGCCTATGTCCTGAATCGTAATGCCTAGGTTTTCTTCTAGGGTTTTTATGGTAATAAACTAGAAAATCTAGAAGAAATGGATAAATTCCTCGACACATACACCCTCCCAAGACTAAACCAGAAAGAAGTTGAATCTCTGAGTAGACCAATAACAGGCTCTGAAATTGTGGCAATAATCAATAGCTTACCAACCAAAAAGAGTCCAGGACCAGATGGATTCACAGCCGAATTCTACCAGAGGTACAAGGAGGAACTGGTACCAATTCTTCTGAAGCTATTCCAATCAATAGAAAAAGAGGGAATCCTCCCTAACTCATTTTATGAGGCCAGCATCATCCTGATACCAAAGCCGGGCAGAGACACAACCAAAAAAGAGAATTTTAGACCAATATCCTTGATGAACATTGATGCAAAAATCCTCAATAAAATACTGGCAAACAGAATCCAGCAGCACATCAAAAAGCTTATCCACCATGATCAAGTGGGCTTCATCCCTGGGATGCAAGGCTGGTTCAATATATGCAAATCAATAAATGTAATCCAGCATATAAACAGAACCAAAGACAAAAACCACATGATTATCTCAATAGATGCAGATAAGGCCTTTGACAAAATTCAACAACCCTTCATGCTAAAAACTCTCAATAAATTAGGTATTGATGGGACATATCTCAAAATAATAAAGAGCTATCTATGACAAACCCACAGCCAATATCATACTGAATGGGCAAAAACTGGAAGCATCCCCTTTGAAAACTGGCACAAGACAGGGATGCCCTCTCTCACCACTCCTATTCAACATAGTGTTGGAAGTTCTGGCCAGGGCAATTAGGCAGGAGAAGGAAATAAAGGGTATTCAATTATGAAAAGAGGAAGTCAAATTGTCCCTGTGTGCAGATGACATGATTGTATATCTAGAAAACCCCATTGTCTCAGCCCAAAATCTCCTTAAGCTGATAAGCAACTTCAGCAAAGTCTCAGGATACAAAAATCAATGTGCAAAAATCACAAGCATTCTTATACACCAATAACAGACAGAGAGCCAAATCATGAGTGAACTCCCATTCACAATTGCTTCAAAGAGAATAAAATACCTAGGAATCCAACTTACAAGGGAAGTGAAGGACCTCTTCAAGGAGAACTGAGAAGCCTTTTATAAGCCAATGTGTTATACCAGGTTGTCAGCTGACTTGAAGGTGGACTTTTTGTATACAAATGACTCTTAAGCTTTCCTAGTCTGTACTTTGCTAAGTCTCTGGAACTGAACCATTGCCTCCCAAAAAGGGCAGGATCCAAGCAAGTCTGAAGCCCTCCTCAGCTCAGGGCCTTGGCAGAACAGCCAAAGGGAAGTGGGAAGTGGTTGATGTGTTTTCTGAGGTCCAAATATCTAACAAGAGGACTTACCCTTGTTCCTGATTCCCAGTTCGTTCAAGGCAAAAAGGAATAAAAAAAAAGAAAATTGTGAAGTGTGTCCTGGGTAGGATTTAAGGTTTGGGAATATTTTCTAAAAAAGAGGACACTTTGCTACTTTGCTAATTGTAAGGTGATAGTGCAGAAGGCTAAAGCCTGGAGCCTGCTGATCATGATACAAGGGTTGCACAGATGCAGTGGCATTTTCTTGAAATTGTCCCTAATTCTGTTTTAGGAATCTTCAGTACAAGGTTATTCTATGTGCAGAGCCAGGTGCCACTGGGTACTATAGTCCAGACAGTTATCCTACAAACTGCATTGAAGAAAAGAGGCCATTATTTGTCTTGTCTCAAGGCAAATCAAAGATGATCCTTCATCCAAGGACTGACCCCTTTTCAAAGAAGAGGTTCCAGAATCTGTCTGATGTATTTTCTCTTTTGGACAACTATACTTGAGCAGGCTCTGGATGTGGACTCTGGAAACAGCTTGCTGACTGAAATTGAACCAGAATACAAGCCCCCAAGAAAAATACTGCTTTCTCTTGCAATTTAAGGCCTCTCAAAAGGAATCTGCCCTCAGACACCTAGGATGCAGGGAAAAAATGGATCAGAAGAAAATTTTGTTTTACAAAATAAGGTTTTCCCATATCAACAGATAAATGGATAAAGAATATGTGGTCCATATACACAATGGAGTACTATTCAGTCATTAAAAAAAAGAATGAGATCCTGTCATTTGCAGTCACTCTCCATTATCTTTATGCCTTCTCCCCACAACATTCTTCTTTATACCCTGGCAACTAGAAATCTACTTTCTGTTTCCACAGATTTGCCTATTCTGAAATTTCATATAAATGGTATCATGCCATATATGGACCTTTGTGACTGGCTTCTTTCAGTTACTATAATATTTACAAGGTGCATCCTTGTAGTATATGTCAGTACTTCATTGTCAGATGAAATTTCATCATATGCATATACCATATTTTGCTTATTAATTGCCCTGTTTGTTGATGGACATTTGGGTTGTCTATTTGGCTCTTATAAATAATGCCTGTATGAATATTTGTGTATGCACATGTTTTCATTTCTCTTGGATAGATATCTAGGAATGTAATTGCTGGGTGATATAATAAATCTATGTTTAACATTTTGAGGAACTTACAAACTGTTTCCCAAAGTTCTGCCTCATTCTTTATCTTTCCTCTCCTTCTGAAACTAAGCAGATGCAAGACCTTACTCTGTCTTCCATGACTCTTCGCTCTTTTTCTCATTTTCCATATCTTTAGCTCTCTTTAATGACTTTAGGGTAATTCCTTCTGGTCTATCACCCAGTTCTCTTATTCTTTCTTTAATGGTGTCTAATTTGATGCCATCTATTGAACTTCTAAGTCAAATTACAATTTTTTCAACTTCTTATATTCCATTCATATGTTTTTAAAACTGCCTTAGTATTTTTGATAATCTCTTCATGTTTCCATTTCACTTCTTAATTTTGAAACATGTTGTTTGCTTATTTTGTGTTTTGAATCTGATTATTTTAATATTGACATATTTTTCCAGATCTGATTCAGTGGTTTCTTGCCTTGTTGACTTACTGATAGTGATTTGTTTCTTAAAATGTTCTGTGATTTTTATATTGGTATCATATTCCTTGGAATTTTACTATGAGAATTCTTTAAGCCCTATATTTGAAGTTTAGTTCCCTGAAGAGAATTTGTGTTTGCTTCTTCTCGACGCTTACCATTTTAAGCTTAGTTTTCTTCTAGAGAGTTCTCATACATGTAGTGTAAATTTTTTGCTACAAACCTCACAACATGTGTATTTCTTTAGTTCTGGGAAGTTCTTGGCCATTATTGACTTAAATATTTCCTTTTCCTTCTTTACTTTCTGTCCTCTGAAATTTTAAGGTTTGGACCTTTCAGTAATCTCTTACATGTATTTTTATTTTTCTTTAATATTTCACCTTCCATTGTTTTTGTCTCATGACTTCATTTAAAGTTGAAATATTTTATTATTTATTGAATATTATTTCAGTAATTTTATATTATACATTTATAGATATACATGTATATTCCTATTTTTTCATGATTAATTCATCTTGTTTTATGAAAATGATTTACTTCTCTATCTCTCTGACTATATGAAGCATACTTCTCTGAAGTTTCTTCTAATTGTTCTATTAATACCCTGCTGTGTATGTTAATTCTTTCATTTTGGGGGATTTTTATCACTCTCTCACAGTGTTGGCCTTCCTGAAAGGTTAACTGATACTTTATTACACTGTCACCTTTTGTGATAAATATCTCTTTTAAACTTCTCAGATTTTGTTATATGCCTGTTTGGGGAAGGCCTTTGCCTATGGTTATACTCTTTCATTGCTAGTTCTTCATAGCTGCTTTCCTTTTTTAGGTACATATTAATCTGTTAACTCTTAAGCAAGCGTTCCCCTTATTGTTTTCAAATATATCTGTGTATGTATTAGTTCACTTTTCAATATATGTCTTATGACTTGTTGGATAATAGACTAAATTTACCATATTTTCAACATACCATCTAAAACCAAATGTTTCAACAGGTGTTGAAGTTTGGTAGAAAGTGACTTTTCATTAGGAATTGTTAGAATTTAATTTTTAAGAGTCTCAAATATTGACAATTCTCCTTTTTAAAAAACTATTTTTAATTATTATGGATACAGAATAGTTTTACATATTTTGGGGTCACATCTGATATTTTGATACAAGCATACAATGTGCAATGATCAAATCAGGGTAATTAACATATCCATCACCTCAAACATTTATCATTTCTTTTTGTTAGAAACATTCTAAATCTATTCTTTTAGTTATTTTGAAATATACTATAAATTATTGTTAACTATAGTTGTCCTATTTTGCTACCAAATATTAGATATTATTCCTTCTATCTAATTGTGTATTTCTACTTTTTAACCATCCCCTCTTTATCCCTCCCTCCCCACTACCCTTCCCAGTCTCTGGTAATCATCATTCTACTGTCTATATAAATGAGTTCAATTTTATTTTTTAGCTCCTACATTTTAGTGAGAACATGCACTATTTGTCTTTTTGTGCCTGGCTTATTTCACTTAACATAATGTCCTCCAGTTCCATCTATGGTGTTGCAAATAACAGGATTTCATTCTTTTCATTGCTGAGTAATATTCTATTTTATGTATCTATCTCATTTTCTTTAACCATTCATCTGTTGATGGACACTTAGGTTGCTTTGATTTCTTGGCTATTGTGAATAGTGCTGCAATAAACATGAGGGTTCAGATATTGCTTTGACATACTGATTTCCTTTCTTTTGGATAAACATCTAGCAGTAGGGTTGCTGGATGATAGGTGATATAGTTAGACTTTGTGACCACACCCAAATCTCATCTTGAATTATAATCCCCATAATCCCCATAGTCCCCATGTGTCAAGGGAGAGACCGGGGGAAGTAATTGAGTCATGGGGGCAGTTTCCCTCATGCTGTTCTCATAATAGTGAGTGAGTACTCATGAAATCTGATGGTTTTATGAGTGTTTGGTAGTTCCTCCTGTGGTCATTCCCTCTCCCTCTGCCTTGTGAAGAAGGTGCTTGCCTCCCCATCATCTTATGCCATGACTGTAAGTTTCCTGAGTCCTCACCAGCCATATAAAACTGTGAGTAAATTAAACCTCTTTCCTTTATAAATTACCCAGTCTCAGGAAGTTCTTATAGCAATGTGAGAATGAACTAATACAATAGGGTTGTTCTATTTTTCATTTTTTGCAGACCTTCCATATTGTTCTCCGAGGTGGCTGTACCAATTTATATTCCCATCAACAGTGTACAAGTGTTACCCTTTCTCCACATCTGAGCTAGCATTTGATATTGCCTGTCTTTTGGATAAAAGCCATTTTAATTGGAGGACAAATCTCACTGTAGTTTTAAATTGCATTTATCTGGTAATTACTGATGCTGTGCCTTTTTTCATATACCCTCTGGCCATTTGTATGTCTTCTTCTGAGAAATTTCTGTGCAGTTCTTTGGCCGAATTTTTAATCAGATTATTATTTTTTCTCCAATTAAGTTATTTGAGCTTCTTATATATTCTGAATATTAATCTTATTAATCCTTTTTCAGATGGATAGTTTATGAATATTTTATCCCATTCTGTGGGTTTTCTCTTCACTTTGTTGATGGTTTCCTTTGGTGTGGAGAAAATTTTTTGCTTGATATGATCCATTTGTCTATTTTTACTTTGACCACCTCTGCTTTTGAGGTATTACTCAAGATATATTTGCCTAGACCAAAGTCCAGGAGTGTTTCCCCAATGTTTTCTTCCAGTAGTTTAGTAATTTCAGGTCTTGGGTTTAAGTCTTTAATTATTTTGAATTGATTTTTATATATGGTAAAAGATGGAAATATAGTTTCATTCTTCTGCATATAGATATCCAGTTGTCTCAGTACCATTTACTGATGAAAGTGTCCTTTCCCCGGTGTATGTTCTTGGTACCTTTGTCAAAAATGAGTTAACTGTAAGTGTGTAAATGTATTTCTGGGTTATCTGTTCTGTTCCATTTGCCTATGTGCCTGTTTTTATGCCAGTATCATGCTATTTTGGTTACCATAGCTCTGTAGTATAATTTGCAGTCAGGCAATGAGATGCTTCCGTCTTTGTTCTTTTTGCCCAGGGTTGATTTGGCTATTCTGGGTCTTTTGCGATTCCACGTAAATTTTAAGATTATTTTTTCTATTTCTGTGAAGAATGTCATTGGTATTTTGATAGGAATTGCATGACTATTCTTAAGGAGAATCCTATTTCCCGACTCCTGTTTTCCATGAGAATAGATTTTCTTCAAACGCTCTTGGCCTACCTTCACTTCTTTATTCACTCTGAACCTGGGAAAACATAGTAATTTATTGACTGGTAAGTTTTGCATTGGCATTTCCCTTCTACTTGAGAGTGAGTCCATATCCAGAAAGAATTATGTCTCTTCTGCCCCTAATAAATAAGACTTAATGTCTTATTTATTTTATGGAGTGATACCTACCCAACCTGCTTAGACAGGAGGCGTGCTATTTACAGAACCCATTCAGAAACTGCAAAATATCAGCAGGTGTTAGCATTTCTTTTTTGGATATCATTGAGAACAGAAATATAGCAACCACCTTAGTTTCTTTCACCTAGATATAGCACCTTTCCCAGAAGCAGTCAGTGCTATTATGATCTTTCTACTAGGAGAACTTTTTCATATTATATTAAGTGACCACTGGAGATAACATCCATCTTGAGGATTTAGTGTCATTCTCAAGAATTATAATTACTTTTCATATTGTCATAATGCATAACCCAGTGTATATCTTACAATAAGATCAAATAAATGCTTTTTGCATGGATAGAGGGATGGATTGATGAGTAAATATAGTGGCATAAAAGCACAAAACATCTAAGTTCTACACTTTGCTCATTTTTCTCTTTAGAATATCATGCACATGAGATTTGTTTTTTTAATCTCAAAAACTAGGATAAAAATTATCTGCATTGCTATTTCAGTGTTTTTTGGACCTAACAAGTTAAATAAATTCTGAGAACTTTGAAAATATATACAAGTGGATGTGATGATGTAGTTTTCATTCAAATTGTGTTTTGATTTTGAAAAAAAATCACAACAAAAGGAAATAATTCAACAAACTGGCTATTTAAATATTACTGTTATTTTACCAAATACAGCTTAAGAAGAAACCATAGAAACAGAAAAACTGTTTGTGTGTTTAGACACCATCTTATTGTCCTATTTATTGTTAATTCTCCTCATGGGAACTGTTCTCCACACTGCTGCTGAACTAAATGCCAGATAAGCCATCTCTCTCTTCCATGTCGTTTTATTTAAATAGAAGAACAATGTGAAGAGTTATCTTTTAAGAACAACAATAAAAAGAAGCTTTTTTACTGGCATTAATACACAATTCATGGTGGCTATAGGAAATGAATACACAAAGCACCATCCTGGATACTTACCACACACATTTTATTTAATTCTGGCAACTATATATTATTTCCCAGTTAAACCCAGGGAGCTTGAGGTTCAGAGAAGTTAAGAAACTTCCCCAAGGTCACATAGAAATGACAATTTATAAGATAGGCCTGTATTTAACAATCATAATTTAATTTAGGCAAATACCTAGAAGGTAGATGAAGAGGAGAGTGGAAAAAAAATGACCTTTCCTCTCCTTCCTGGTCACCTCACTCCTAGGGTAAGCCACACTGTGCAAAGCCATTTTGGTCCCTGATACCCAAACATTGCTTGCTTCCACTGCGAGTTGCTGATGCAGGTGGTCATCAGGGGAGAACTAGCAGCGTCTTCATTGGGTACAATTTCCCAGAAGCAGTTGGTGCTATTATGATCTTTCTACTAGGAAGGAGACTTTTTTTCCTTTTTTCTTTTTTTTATTTTTTTATCTGAATTCCAAAGAAGGCCCTTGCTGGGCTGACTTGGAGAGCTTCCAGGACGTTTTCTTTTTTAAAATACACACAAATGTCTGGAGAGATACCTACAAAACCTGCAGAAGAACACACCCTCCTGGAGTTCAGAAGCCAGTCAGATCTCCAGGCTTCTTTTCAGATGAAGCAAATAATGAATCCCTGCTTAATTTCAATTAGTCCCCATGGCATAAAACCATGTGAATGATTGGGAAGGAAAAAATACTGTCTGTGATCTGATGCCAGGAGCTGCATGCTGCTCAAATAATGTTTCTTTCTTATACTCTCTGTACTAAAATTGTACAAGGAAGTTGTAATATTAGTTAACTCTAAAGGTATTTACATTATTCAACTATTTCATAAGAAATAAATAATTCAAATGTCAAAATAGTCAACTTTCTTGAGAGTCACTGGTGATGAGGAAAATCTGGAGAATCACGATCGAGGGAAACACATTTAGGATTAAGGAGAAAAAATGTTGGACCCTTCCTCTATAACCCCGTCCACCCCTTCTACTATCCCCCTACCCTGTCCCCAAGAAAGAAAGCAAGGTAACTGCAGTATGCAGACCTCCTCATTTCCTCTGTAGGAGCAAGCACTGCAGCAAGCTAGAAACCTCATATTCACAAGGCAAACAAAGCATCATTTTTTAATGACTCTTCTGAATACATTTTTGCAGCAGCTTCCCTAGACCTGCTTGTCATAATGGTTTCTTCAAACGTTTTTTAAAGCCTGTGATGTTCAAGGCCCTAGCCTTCCCCCTCTCTTGCTTGTTTTTTATGTGTCACAGTTGTCAACTAAAATAGAGCACCTAGCCTTTGTTTCAAGATGGTACCTGATCAATATCATCAATCCGTCTCACTCCCTCTCCCTCTCTCTCCCTCTCTCTGTCTCTCACGCACTCTCTCTCTCTCTCTACAGCTGTATCCATTTCCTCCTGGCAAAAAGGGACTTTATGAATAAATGATACTGAAATGCTGAGGGTTCAGATACTAAATAATGAATTTCACCACCAAAAACACAACAACTTCTCCAATCATAAAATACCGCTCCTTCCATATTGATTGTGCTTTGGCAACTAGATGCAGTGCTAGGCTTCACTCTGCAAGGTGTTTAAAAAGAAAAACAGGTTTACCCAGGATTTATCATGTATGGAAAAAATGTAATCTCTAAGTAGGCTGTCTGCTAATGTCTGGCATAAGGTTTCTTCATAATGGTTAACCCTTTTTCAGGGAGTGGAATAATGCAAACAGTGCCTCTCTCTAGATGGGAACTTTGCTTCATGGGACATTACAGTAAGTGTGTCATCTGTTCTGTGCTGTTGTGTGGGTACTAGCTTATAATGATAATGCAAATCTCCTTTTATTATTTTTTTAAAGACCTGCTGTGTGCAGGGAATAGAGCATCCTGCAGCAGGACAGGGACTAGGTCAGAGTACCTGCAGTGCCTGTTCATTCTCACGTTGCTGGGTGCTGGGTGCGCGGCTCCCTTACTGTCGCATGTAGTGGGTCAAGGTTTGGGAGCATTTGTTGTCTGCTCAAATGTGACTTGCTTTCCTATTTCCCTCATGAATGGTCTCCGCTGGCGTATTTCTGATGTGCAAAGAATGCCAGTGTCTGCTATCTGAGAGATGACTGGGGTCAGGGAGGGTAGATTCTTGGCATGTGATTGGCAAAACCTGCCTTCTCTCAAGTTGTAGGCTAACTTTTTTGACTGAAATGTTCTGTGTCTGCCTATAAATTTGCTTTACTGCCTATTAATGTCAGAGAAGCTTCATTTTTAATTAGGGAGAATGGAGTAGACTTTGTTGTATGGGGAACGCTCTGCATTTCAACTACATATGTTGATATATACATTGTGTAGTGCAGGTTATCAGATGATGTCAGTCATAGGAAAGAAGCGAAGTAAGTTTTAAGCATTGTCTATGCTGTGTTTATTTCATGAAATTTTAGCGAAGCTGAATTGCTATGATAATTTTAATGTCAAAAAGCATAAATGTTAGTTTTATCTTTCTTTCTGGAACATTCATCTGCTTGTAAAAATAAATCTTTGCTTCTCTTTTTTAATCGTCAAGGGACAATTAACAAATGTTTACTAATGTACCTATTTACCTGTATGCTAAACATATGCTAAAGTAAAGCAAGTATTTCCATTTTATTTTTTAAAACTTAATTTAAAGAAAAAATACAGGCATTAATTTAGAGTTACTGATGCAGTGAAATGGAGGAATATATTTGAGCTATTAGCCGTTTCAATCTCCTGCCTACAAATAATTGATGAGTTTCTATTAAAGATTGACAAGCTAGCAGAGTGCAACGCATTTTTACTAGAAAATGCAGCATGGGCAGTGAATATGCATTATTCCTTTTATTCTAGTGCTCCACATTAATAGTTCTGGAATTAAGCTTTATGTTTCTATAGACCTATTGATTAGCATTTAGCTGGAGATGTACACGTGCCTATTCATTTAGCTGGAGATGTACATGTGCCTATTCGTGGTTCCTTCTCTCTATATAATAACAATTTGTAGTCCCTCAGCCATTATTTACAGCTTGTTTTCATATTAGTATTTCAAATACATAAGGTTTTCATTTGCCTCCTTATGACTAGTAAGGATTTAATGCTGTGTTGAAAAATCTTAACTTGCCTTCCTAACAATTAGGGCACCAGGTAATGTCACCCAGAGACTCATCAGGACCTATGACTGGAATAGTTCCTCCTCAGGGTCCCAGCTCAGAAAGTCAATTTCAGTTGTCAGTGTCACTGAAGGGCATGTCTCGCTTTACAGGCTGTGTTTTATGTATCTTGGACATAGATCTATTTTAAAAGAGTACAAAGATCAGAGGTATATCCTTTACATACTTTGTTTTTAATTCATGAAACAAAACATTTATTATAAGGAAACAAATAGTATAGAATTTAAACATCCTTTTAGGGTGTGTTTGACAGTCGTTATAAGTTTACCACCATGAGGGAGTTCGCTGGTACTGGCTGAACAATTTCATTTGGTAAGATTTGACTTTTTTAGTGTTCTGGTTTTAAGCTGCTTTCCACTTTGCTTCTTCATCCTGTCCTCTTGTTTTGAGAGCAGTGCTATCAGTAGCATCCTTCTGATAACTAATAAAATTTTATTGTCTTAATGGGACAGAAAGTACTTGTAATATTTTAAATAACAGCTTTTCTTAAATAAACATACAGAAAACTAGTTCTTTCAATTTTCCTCATCACTGGTGCCTACAGAATCTGCCTATAAAATGCTTTAAGAGTTTTACACTTATAAAATCACCAGAAAGAAATTGGATACACATTTAATTTGCACCTCATTTCATTTGGGCTTCCCCATTAGAGCCAAGTGGTGAAAATGGGGCAATTGGTATTGTTTTCCACAAAGTGTACTTTTTAATAAAATTCTGGAAGACACCTCATTTTACCTGGGGCAGTTCTCTGCTGTGTTTGCCCTCTTAGGAAATCATACACAATGACACTGAACGTGCTAGCTGACATGTTGTCTGTAAGGACAGGTTCAATAACATGCATATTTCTTTGTAAACTAACTGCCTACAAAAATATAACAAGCACTCAACTTAAATCAAAAGTTTCTATACATGAAAACTAAACCATACAATTATTAATTTGGGTACAGCTTTTTAAGGGACTGAAAGCTGTATTTTGTGATCCATGACCTTCTTACTGGAACCCCACTATGTCTTTTCATTTTTTTGGTTATCTTGGAGAATTAAAATCAATCTGACAGTCATTTTAAATAAAAATAAGCAATATACCACCGTCCCCAAAATTCCAGAAATCCCAAAAGCATTTCTTGGTTTTATTTTTATTATGTATGGTTACATGTGGTATGTAGCAAGGGATCATAAGACCAGGTATAATTATTTTGGTGCACATTTGATTTTCTTTGGTATTTTGAATATATTTTCTGTAGAAGAATAAATAGGTGAAAATAGTTCACCACCATATGATTTGTTTTATCCTTAGGCATGGCCTGAGGTTACTGGAACATTTTTGGTTTTCAGTATCGAAAAGTGAAATGCACAACAATGAAAATTTTATTAAAATGTATGTTAACCCATTACTGTATGTTCATTTTCAATTCTTTATAAGAAAGCATGATATATCATTTTGTGTGTGTCATTATTTTTTAAAAAAGAGATGAGTCAAGTAAAGGAGCAAATTTAATGGGGAAATTTTATGGGAAACATTATACAAATGGCAGTGTGTGTGATTCCCATTATTAAAATAATTTGTCATTGTATGAGAAAAGGTATAAATTTCAAGAAGGAGTCTTCTTTAGTTATCTGCCCTTTTTTTAAATGACAGTGGCTTTTGTGCAGTAAAGACAGACACGTTCTCAGGCAAAGCCCATTTCAGGACGGAATTTCTGAAAGCCCTATTAATGTTTCATGCTAATCAAGGAGAGTGGGAAATAGAGCTGACAGGTACTTTCTACTCTGCTTATTCCTGTCTTCCTGCATTAGACATTACTAGCTAAAAAAGGGCCAATGGGGTTCTTATCCAATGCATATACTAAGAAGGGCAAAAATAAAATGATTCTTGGCTTGTTTCCTGTTGTTTTCCATCTTGGATCAGCTGATAACATTTTTGGTCGTATGAGTGCATTGATTATTAATAGATTTGTTTTACTCTAAACTGTAACCTCAAAAGGGATTTGCCACTTGAACCTAGTATTGTAGTACAGTGAGCCATGCTATGTGTGATTCTATAAAAGTTCCATCTGGGCTTCCCTTGTTGAAATATTGTACCTATAAGTAATTTGAGCTTTTTGCTTATATCTGGCTTCCTAAATGGGAATTTCCTAGGTGGATATCATAGATTTAGACTCCACCAAGTTATCTGAGGACATAGTGTAGATTGGAATAAATATACTTTCGTCTTTCTTCACTGGCTCACTTACGCTTAACAGATTTGTCAGAGCTCAATGCCAGAATGAATATATGCCATCGCATATGGTTGAAGAAAAGATAATTTATTGATTATGTTGTGAGGGTGGTGGTTGTTTATTGTTGGCTTTTTAAATTTATACCAGTTTAAGTTGATTTAATCTATTAATTTGTATATAAGATCTCTGATTAAATAAAATCAAAGCACTTTTCTTTTGCAAGAAAATTTTCATTATCTTAATGATTATGTGCTTAGAAATGGTATCTTAGCATAACTGACTATTCCACATCTTTTATTCATAGAAAAACTTTTTTCAAGTGCATTTAGACATGCCAAGGACTATTACCTTCAACTTTAGCTACTGAGAGCTTACCATTTTCTGACACCTGGTGTCTATCTTAGGAAGGTAGAAAATGACATATGGTGGCTTTAGGATACAATAAAGTATTACTGTGCAAAGTTTTCAAGTAGCAAGGGTGAGGTCACAAAAATACACTAATGGGGAACAAACTACAGTTATCCATAATTGAGAGACATAAATATATTGAGTTATTTTATCTCTGCTTGAAAATAGAAACTCTTTCAAGGTCAGTCACCCAAGAAAAATTACAACTCCTCTAAGATTTAGAAAGTTATATAAAAATGTCTGTGACAGTACATATATAAAACCAAAGAAGATATTTTAGGTTATGGAGTCCATCAATGTGACAAAAAATATTTTTCTAAAACTTTCTTTTCTTTTCCCTCAGTAGGATATACTTTCTGGTCATGTCTGCATACTCAGGCTAACGCTGAATACAGAAATCAACTTGTTTAATGTAAAATAATGAAAGTTAGCTTTCTATTCACACAACTTTGCATAGTCTTGACTTGAAGAAAACAGTCTGATAACAAAAAGCTTGAAATTCCAGAATTAAAAGAACATATACTGATGCAGTAGTATTGTCACTCAAATGATTTTTGAAGGCAATTATTCTTCCTTTTTGGGAGATAGACCCTTGAAAAATCCAACGAAAGTTAGAGATCATTTCTTAAAAAATTCATATGCTCTTAAAATTTTGCCTACAGTATAAGGGAGTCCCCAGTCTACTTAGCCTATCCATATGGGTTCAGGGCCTACAGGTTAAAAAGCTCCTCCATTCCCGTCTACCTCATTAGTATTGAGAGCATAATTTGGCCCCAAAGTCACCTTGTACAACCATAAAAACCCCTTTTGATCAGAATAAAGGCAAACAGAAGCCTAAGCAACATACTGCTTCACCCCTTTCTCTTTGATCACACCTGGTCACTTGGTCATGGCTTACCCTTAATGGCAGTCAAGGGCATTGTTTCTTCCCTAATAAGAGGATTCTCACACAAAGCACACAGTAGTTCTATAAGGAGCAATCCAAAAAAAAAAGGACTAGATCTTTGAAAATACAGATGGAACCTCTTTGTTTTTAACATGAAGATCTGCATTCTCTAGAACTTTAGTTCATTTTTGTTCTTAAATTATGCAGAAATAACTTTTATTCTCTTAGGTTACTATAAGAGAATTTATCTTTGACTAGTCCCTGGATAGTGGAAGCTGCAACCGAATGCAAAGTTTCTTTGGATGATGGGCCTGCCAATGTCTAACGTAATTTTTTATCAGATTTATTGTAAATCATTACTATGATCAAAGAAAAAAATAAAGAGACATTTGGCTACTGATGTTTTGTTTTGCTAATGAGTCATTCAACTCTGTCTAGAATACCACAATATTGTAATTGCTCATGAGTAATTACAATTAAATGATGGTTTCATTTTCAAATTGGGTTCCCTGTGCTTCCTTGGTCCAGTGCTAGTCACATAGCAGATACTCAACAAAACTCAGTGACTGAGTGGTGAATTAGTGAGTGAATGAATGAGAACTGATTCTACAGCTCAAGGATCAAATATGAGTGGATAATGGAAACTTCCACTGATGAAACAAGATAAAAGTATCTACAATGACCTACAAAAGTTATCATAGACTAATATTAATTTGCTTTAAACTTGTATAAAATTTGTAACATATTTAAATAGCCATGCTTTTTTATTTAGAGTCTCCTCCTTTGAGTTTTTAAGTATTCAATTCCTGCCTCATGAGGGGTTGACACTTAACAAAATGCAAATAAATTTTTAAAACTTACCTCTAGCAAAACTTCACTGGCAATGGGTGATATAAAAATAATTTCAATGTCTTAACCCCAAATTTACTTGAATTGTAAAGGCAAATATGACTTTTTTGTAAGTTTCTAGAAATGCACATCAAAACTACTTTTTTTGTTCTATCGCATGTAATTACATAATTCTTATTAATATATTGACCTATATTATAGCATTTTGTAATTCTAAGATTATTGTTCCTTGATCCAAATATGTAACTGGGTTAGTCTTTGTAAACTACAATTTTGATTAATAAATAACATTAATCAGTAATACTTAACCAATTTTTCTCCTGTATTTTAGAACATCTTCAAGTTTATCTCTATCAGTTTTCTCTCCCTGGAGGAAAGAAACAACCCCACAACATACTGGCTTCTCCATTCAACTTTGCACTTATGTTTTGACTTTTCTTTTTTGCTATTTTTAGGGAAATAGAAGTGTCATATTACCTTAAATGTACATTAAATTATTTGTTTTAAAAAGACATGATACAATTTTTTTACATGATGTGAATTCTATTTAGAATTTTATATTTAGGAGAAAATGCAAATAATTGCAAAATGGTTCACAGTGCAAGAATATAGTTAAGTTTCCATCAGATAAGGCTTATCAGTATTTTTAAGACTATTGTAAGACTTTGACTTCTCTTTCATTAGCTGATGTAAAACCAGTGCATTCCCTCTGACAGTCTATACTTAAAAGCTCTATTTTTTTTAAAGATGGGAGAAAAGAGAGTTAATTTTAGTAGTTTCACCCTTACCACATGCCTGTCATATTTTAGAAAAGGAAAGCCATTTTCAGAGCATTACTGTCATTTCCAAACCAACTAAGCACAGTCTCCTAGCAGCCACAGACTCCCCTGATAAGGACAAATAGATACATAAAGACAAGCATTAAGATTGCAATGTCACACCCCAGAAGCTATTTCCATGCAGTTTCCCAAAATGGGAAGAAAAACACCTCAATCTGGTTGTCAGGTACATATCAGAAGATATAATTGCATTCTTGGAGACTCTAGGCAAATCCAGAAGCAATGACAAACATATGTGTGATAAAGAATCAGTTTCCAGCAAGTACAAACTCCATCACTGTTATATCTTATGGTATGGGCTATCTCTAAATGAACTGCACTGTGAGAGGTGAAAGATGCTCTCTCACCTCCTGAATGCCTGGAAACACATAGATGTGCTGACCTGAGTCACAGGCCACATGACCAAGAGAAGGTCTCTGCAGTCCCATGACTGGCCACCACAAAAGAAGATACCCCTGCTTAAGCAAACCTGCAAAGTACATTCACCTCAGGCAGAACTGGAATCAACCTGAGAACACTCTAGGTACCAGAACAAGAAACACATTTTAAGATGAGTTGCCATTTGGGTTTGTTGGGTTCAATATCTCATAGTTCCTTCTCCCACTCATAGTTTAAGAACACCTACCCATGGGACAGAGAGCAAAGGTGAAATGACACAAAAAGATCCATGCCCCTTTTCATATTCAACTCTGGTAGTCAAATTCGTGCAAGCCAATGGATTAGCTCTCACTGTTCGGGTAATTAAGATATTTGCTATTCATAGTTAAAAGGAGATCAGAATAATACAATGGAACACACAGTAACCAATACAGTGGAAAGAAGTTAAACCTGGAAAGTAATGTTAAGATGTCTATTTAAGGCACTCAAATCTGGAAAACTGTTTAAGTAACTGTAATAAATCATTAATGAGTGAGCAGTAAAACACTGTTTAATCATTAATTAACCATGTATTAACAGTAGAAAATATTAGTAATTCATCCTTTACTGTACCTAGCGATAACTATAAAATTAAGTGCTTATGGATTCATGTAATTAATTATTTAATGTATTTTCTAATTAAGATATAATATAGTTATAAGAATTTTGCTTCTGTTAACTACCAAAATAGCATGGTAGTTTACAGGTTGATTTTCAACCTAACCTTACTGCCTTCATGTTTTCCTTATTGTTAAAGTGCTATTTTATACAAGTATAAGTTTACTTAAATGGTAAAATACCCCTAAGATGCAATCTGATATGGCTTTCCCATAACCCATTTATTTTTATATATGTCAAACCTTATATTTTTTCTTTTTCAAATTGACCAAAATGATCTTTAATCTAAAATTGGCTCTGATTTGACTGAAGGCAACTGCAGAGCTTCTAGGTAACTAATTTTCCTAAAATAATTGCCATAAATGTTATTCCCACTGTAATATAAAAGATAATCGAAAGGGCTTTTGCATGTGTCAACTAAAGCTTTCAGCTAATACTGTGCTTTATCTGCCGATGAAATGTGGCTAGCTCAACCATTTTTTATTATATAGTACAACATATAAAAACAAAGATGCAATATTTTAATTTTTAAACATTTGACATATTTTAATTTTTAAACATTTGACATCAGACATTTTGATTAAAATATGTCATCCTGAGCAATGAAATTTCATTCTGTTTACCATTGTAATAAGAATTACCTTCAAAGGTTATTATTTGGGTTTACTAGAAAATGATCCAGAGTAATCTATTATTACATAAACTAAACTAGGGAAGGGCTTAATATTGTTTATTTTTTCTAGTTAATATTATAACAATTTTTCTTAATAATATTTGTGAAAAACAAAACATATTAAATTGATGAAATGTTATACAATGTGAGCGAATTGGCTATCTACTGTGGAGTCAGAGGCTCAATTGTACATTTTAGTAAAATATCATATGAACATTCTTAATCAAAAGTTTACGGAAACATAGGTCAGTGTAATGTGGGAAATTAAAAACAAAGTTTACAGAAATAAAGATTTTAGTTAACCATCTGAACAATAAAAATGTTTGTCTTTTGGGACTTTAATTCAGTTGTAAAGGGGGTGTAAATAAGAATAGAAGCAAATCTGAGGTACTTTAGGTTAACCATTGGGTGTTTAAATGTATTGAAGGTGAAAAACTGTACTTACAGAGCCATCAATTCCAGCCACAAAGCGATGGCCCTGTGGTCTTTGTCATTCTTGTCATTCAATCCCCATCACTATCCAATCAGGTGGTAAGCAGGGGAGCCTAGACCAGACAGTAAAACTCGGAGCAATTGGATTTGTCTATCCTAACAAGGCTGCATTCGCCTTAGTGACTGCCAAGTCACTAACTCCACCTCTTTTCCCCACAGGCAAAACATTTTAGAACTGTCATAAAGAAAATGCCATTGCTGGGATGTCAAAAATTCCTTTTACTCCTCCTTGAAATTAAGTTTTGTGTATGTGCAAGCATACATGAACTGACTTTAATAAAAGCCACTCTGAGGAAAATGTGAAAAAATAGAACTGCTTATAATCATTAAAACATTTTGTTGTGGAGACAAGAAGAGCATCTGGCCGTGGCAGAAATAAAAGTGTTTGTTGGGAAGCTAAACTACTGTTCATGGTTCTGGAAAATAATTAATGTGGTCCAGCACTGCCATGGATATCATATGAGTGAGGTAGGCTTGCTTTCATGGAGCAAAATCTCCCTGTATAACGTCTCTTTTCCAAGGATAGCATATTTCACTATTTGCCATTTAAACCAGATCAATAGCGGTGGGAGTATCGAGCTCATGAGGCCAAAGTCACAGCTATAGAGAAAAACTCCATTCCCAGAGAAGACAACTGAGTGTACCCCTATCCCTGAGTGGTCCTGTCATCAGCCCTAAGCTAAGTAGGGATGTGGAATGCCAACCACCAGAACAACCATCTCTGGGAAACCTGCTCCAGTGCCTGCCTTGGAGGTTTGTCAGTGGGCTCCGCCTCTCCATGAGGCTGAGGTCTTAAATAGTGACTGAAGTCTTCCTGAAGTAAAACGTTAGCATAATAGGCCGATTCCACTTAGCATCCAAGTTATTTCAACCCAGTGCAAGGGTAATCTGACAAAAACACGGAGTTCCTCAGAACATTGCAAGGGCTAAATGACTTCTATATATTGTGAATACTGACTCAAAAGAAAAAGCAATATGAAAAGGCATTTAGCTTTGGATATCAAGCCACTAGAAAATAATATAGTTAGAATTTCTACTCCACACTTTCCATGTTAGCATTAAACTAAGCTTCTTGAAGGCCAAGTCACTGTTGTTTTCATCTTAGAATCCTCAGCGCTTATCACTGTATTGACTACCTTGTAGATTAGCACTGTCCAATAGAAAATAATGAGTCACATACGTAACTTTAAATTTTCTAATAGTCACATGTAAAAAATAAACCAGTGAAGTTAATTAATAATACAATTGACTTAACACAATAGTCCAAATAATTATCATTTCAACACATAATCAATTGAGATTTTATATTAATGAGAACTCTAGTGTTTATTTTTCAGCTACAGCATACTTCAATTCAGACTAGTCCAATTAAACTGCTTGAGAGACACATGTGGTCATAGTACAGCACAGCTATAGATGATCAATTCATACATGCTATAAAAATAAAAGAAAAATAAGTGAATGAGTAAATGAATGAATGAATAAATATTAAAGTAGATATAAAAAGTAATCACTTTGAGCTCACTACATAGATGGAGATTATAAACTACCAATGTTTTATGTATATATAGTACATAAATATACTGTATGTGTGTGCAAATATATATATATATGGTATATGTTTGTTGGGTAGATGGGATGCTGCAGAGCAGCATGTCAAATTCCTAATCAAGTGAATTTTACAATATCTTTTATTTGGCTAATTAGCAAATCAAATTTTTTTCTAATAGCTATTTGCACTTAAATTCCAAAATATTCATTAATTACAAATTTTAAAAATCTGTTGTTAGAAATAAATGCCTTGTAGGCCACTAGGAAAAGTTGTGCTGGCCTATCCTCAGCATTTACCATAATTTCAAAGTAATTCTAGGTAGATCTCTCATGGAAAGTTGAAACTATATTTCAGAGCAATTTATTCTAGGGCAATTATGCAACTTGTTACTTTGGTCTGAATATAATTGTACGCCTGGTAATAAAGTACTATGTTCCCATCCAATAGTGAAGAACTCATAGATTTGGAAGTGGTTAATGTCAAACACCTGTGGCCAAGCAACATCCTCTATGTTAGGTTTTTTCTCCTTAGTAACAATTGAAAGATTTATAAATGAGGAAAAGGATATGAAGGAGAAATTTAAAAACATCTTTAATAATATATCTTATAAAATTTACTCTATATAATACAAAATTGTATATTAGATAAAATTCTATGAGCCATTTTAAAAGGTACTACTACATAAAACATTTTAGAGGTAGAAGAGGAGAAAAAATTTTTTATTTGAAGAAAATTTTATTATGACTTAGAAAATACAACCTTTTAAAAATAAATTCATAAAATGTTTCTCTCTGTAAAAAAGTTGATTTTAATCCTTGTACAGTATAAGTAGGGAAGAGTCTTTCGTATTATGTCAGTGTAAAGGTACTTAGCCAGCATAGGTCAATCATTCCATTTATCATCCAAAAGCCTAAAAAAGACTTAAATAGCCCTGTTGTCTTTCCACCTTCTATTTTAGTCACTAAGCATCACCATAAATATTGAAGTATGACGCCAAGGATCTAGAAAATCAGTAGCTATACTTAAGACATTATTCCCACATCATTGTATTCAACTACTATACTTCTCAGTAACTGTCAGAACTTCAAAATGATGCATTTTAAAGATAAGTTTTCACCGATTAATGTATTATGTTGTAACAAACAGATTTAATGCCTTTCGGCCTAAATCAAACAGTTCTATGACCAGTTAGAGTTTGCTGAATTAGATACACAGCCGCTTGTTTGGTTCTTAGATTAGTAACCTACCTTCCTCAGAAGCAGCTATTTTACTTTTATTAATTTATATTTAGTCCCCTTGGCTTGAGACAGAGTACAGGCTAACTGTATTTCCCCAGAGTAAATATAGTAGTTCTCATATTCTCAGAGTTGGAGGAGTTTTTGTGATTTTTTTCCATTTCCAAATACACAAGTCATCTTGTGCAGTAAAGCATGCTCGTCAATGCACATGTCAGCCAACTTTAAAAAGAAAAGTCTGAGAAAAAATAAAAAGTAAATTATTTAAGTGGAGTTGTAGAGGAAGCTTGAAAGAATTCTGTTTGGAAAGTTTCTTTGCTTCTCTCTGCCAATGGAGGAGCGACTGACTCTGGATCTCTCACTAGTGAGCTTCTGTCATAACTAGGGCTGACAGTTCACATTGAAAATTCTGTTTTCTTCCTTCTCAGGAAAGCAAGTCAAAGTTAAGCCAACAAACTGTTCTTGGCAAGGGCCTTACTTTTGTTTCCTCTTCTTTAAATTAGCCATTTGGGTTTCGTTCAGTATTTGTGAATACATTTCTAGGATTTGGCACCACAGATTTCAGTGGATACTGAGACACTTTTTTAAAAAGTGGAGGCCCTCTGTAATGAAAAGTGTGGCCACATGAGTGCAGAATTTGAGATGAAGAGAGAAAAACTCAAGTATCATTGTGTCGAGGAAACAACAAGAAATCAACAAACCAAACCACTGCGAAATATCATTAACATTCAACTACAGTTGAATTTGGCAGTGAACTGTTTTAGGGTAGCATATTCCATTTGAGATGTCTGTAAAATATATTACAGCTGAGTTCCATTGACTTTGCCACATTAACAACTATAGGGAATGAAATAATGGGTAAAAGCCGTTGTAGAGCTTTTTGCTCTTGTGCAGAAACTGAGCAAAAAGTGCCTGTGACTTTATTTTCTTTCACTTTCAAAGCTGTTCCATCAATGCACGGTTTGGGATCACTGTATGAACTCTTCCAAAGTATTTACAGAGGGTAAAAGTATGCTTCATCCCAGGAACTACGGCAGGCATGGCTTATTTTATGAAAACCCTACTTACAAAATGCCAAACCTAACAAAATAGATGAACAAGATAGGGAAGAGATGATACATTCTTCACCATAACGGAAGTAATTATTTTACAAAAAAATTCACTTTACATTTAGGAGAATCTTCTGTATATTAAATATAAAATTATATTTTCTTACAGTCAGTTACCCTTTAATTTTGGGGGAATGTTTTATTTATGCTCCCACTAAGTTACAGGCAATTTTATAAAATACCAAATTACCACCAATTACATTACAGTCAAGGAAGTGACTAGTTGTATCTATATTGTTTATGAGGTACAAACAGGCATGAAAGATGGATAAACATATAAAGCCCCTACACATAGATTTGGTGTTTGCTTAATGCCCATATTTATATATGTTCGCCACGTGTACATGTACACATACAGTGTTGTTCCACTAACTGACTTATCTGTAGATAATACAGTATTTGCAAGACCAGTTCATTAAGGTTAATTTGTTCAAAAATATTAGAATCATTAATTTCTGGCTTATAGCTAATGGCTGCTCTCAGCCAGTGTCCTGCTTCATCATTAGTGTCACTGAGATTATAACTCACACCCAACTGTTTTTACACTATCTAATAGAATCAATTGATGCAATGGTTGACAAGATGCTGTTTTGCATTTTGTCATCACACTAATGTACATGGCTTAAAGGCATTGGCATCCATAATATGGGGCAGTTTTGTAGGAGACTGGAATAGGCTGAAGCTGCAAGGGCCATTTTCATAAAATATTAATGAAATTGAAAAATACACTGGGGTTGAAGGCTTGTCTGCTAAATGTAAGGTAAAATCTATTCTGCTCTGCTTTCTGATGACTGTAATTAGCAGCCCTAATTAAAAATTCAAACCTTGTGTATATTTGAAAGCATGAATCTTAGCTCGCATCATGTTTATTTCCTTTACAAAGTATTTTATTTTACAACACTAATTGAACAGGATCCTTCCTAGTCCGACAGCCGCAGCTGGCTGGAGCCAGTTTATGTATCCAGTCTCTCAAGACTACTTCCTTTTGTAAGTAATAAAACATCTTTAAAAAACATGGATATGCTCTCTCTGAGCCATTAACTCTGTGCCATCCAGCACCAGGCTGGTCTTCTCCCCACACATTGTTTTTTTTTTTTTCCTTCACTTAAATGTGACCTCTTTGAAGAGGCTGCTTTTTTCTGATCTTCAATATTTAATGTGGATTTACTTACATTAAATGACCACCTTACTAAAGGAGCAAAGGCTCACTTCTGACATTATTTATGAACAGCATACGCTGTGCAAAAATACGGAAGGAATTGCCAGGGAATACCTATTAGTTCTGGTAGAAGAATCTACTTTTTATCATTGTTTTCTAAACTTATTTTCAAATTTGTGGCCAGAATGTTGACGCCTCACTGGGGACTGCGCGACAGCAAGTGAAGTCCAAACTGATTAGAATCATGTTACTTAGAGAGAACAGAGACCAGCCAGGACCAGAGCTAGAAGTCAGTCAAAGCCAGCATCTGAGTAGGTCAGACACGTTAAGACTTTTTTCTTTCAATAACGACAAAAATAAGTTTTGTTTCAACTTATGCCTATTATTGACAAAAAGAAGAAGAAGAAAAACAGGCACCTAATTATGGTTAAAATAATCTGGAAAAGGTAACATCTATCTTTTGTTTGATCTGCGTATCCTTTCATCTCTGGGTGTCAATTTCCTCACCTGTAAAATGGGAATGCTTATAATGCCTTTACTTAGATGTTCTGTCTACCTAAGAGACTTTTTCTGAGGACACAAACAATTAGATTTACAAAAGCACTTTGACAACTCTTAACACAGCATGCAAATACCAGGGATTCATTAGAAATGTACTCATTCTCTACAAGTGACTCAAACTATGAACAGAAAATGGAAGGAAACTGGTGATCGATACTATTAGAAATGCCCTTAAAGTTTGTGCAACCCAATTTAAGTAACTCATTCTTCATTTGGGCTGGGATTCACTGGAAATGTGCTGAGAACAAAGAAATAAGTCTGGCCGGGTGCAGTGGCTCACGCCTGTAATCCCAGCACTTTGGGAGGCTGAGGCAGGTGAATCATGAGGTTAAGAAATCAAGACTATCCTGGCCAACTTGGTGAAACCCCATCTCTACTAAAAATACAAAAATTAGCTAAGCGTGGTGGCGTGCCCCTGTAGTCCCAGCTACTCAGGAGGCTGAGGCAGGAGAATTGCTTGATCCCGGGAGGCAGGGGTTGCAATGAGCTGAGATCGTGCCTCTGTCTGCACTCTAGCCTGGCAACAGAGTGAGACTCTGTCTCAAAAAACAAACAAACAAACAAACAAAAAAAACACACACGCACACACACAAGACACAAGTTCTTTCTTTTATACCTTAATGAAGTTTTGGTCTGATTTTCCTGGAGACTCTATTTCTAATATGTTATTGGAATTCACATGACTGAAAAAGTTGAATATTACATTGTACTGAAATATTAAAATTGCTTCTCCACCAATACATTGCTTTAAATGATTAAATGAATAAGCAATTATGTTTGATGGTAAAATGTTACTAGCACTATTAAAAACAAATATTTTTCAATATTGGGAATTAAACAGTTTATTTTGTACCACCACAAACTATTTAGAATATAGAATCATCTACTCTTTGCCTCAGGCATGGGATCTATATTCCTTACACATGGAGATTTCCCACCAAAGGAGGTGAAAGTTTTTCCGGAGTAAGAAGTATTGAACATGAGGCTATTAAGAGGATATGAGGCCTGCTAATATTTGGATTATTGATTTTTCCAAGTGATAAATGTTACATCACCCACCCCCCACCCCAAATACGCATTTACTTCATTGAATGGAGAGCTGCCTTCTTTTCTACCTGAAAGGGGAGAGCAGAATTAATAATTTTGTATCACTAGAGAGAATCAGATCCAATTATTTTGTGGGTAGCTGGCAAATGTGAAGAAGAGAAGGCTGTAGAAAAGTGGGAGGTGAGGGAAGGAGGAGCAGCTAGACTTCTAAGCCTGGACAGAGCCTCTTGCAGAACGCACCTCAGCCCCAAAGGCATGGGGTGAATGCTGCTGTCATAAAAGATGGACAACAGAAATCAAGGGATATTGTCAGGCATCTACATCACCTTAGGCCCTCAAGAGGGTGAGCAGTTTCCTTGCTGCTGAACAGAGTGAGCCAAAGACCGTCAAGCTTCTGTGGGCAACACCACCTAGAGACATGCTCCTCTCCTCCTGGTGTCCTGGGAAAATGCGATATCCCCTTCCCAGGTATACATTGAACCAAGATTCACTTCCTCTCATTTCCATCTCTGCCTCCAAATCATTCCATAGGCCTGGCCATAAAAATTTATCCTCGGCTCTGCCCTCCAATAGAGCTGCACTCTGCTGCATCTGAAAGGTGTTGCCCAAGCTGATTCTCCTCCAAGGAGCATCCCTACCTAACCTCCAGTGGCATTAGAAACCCTCCTGCAGAACTGCTCTCTGTTGCTGCACTCAATTCACCTTGGGCCTTCTCCTGAGCAGCCTGCCTGGTTAGCAAACAGCTGAATATGCTGACACTGGTTTGCTTCTCTGAGCACAGAAGGCTGAAGTTCCTGGAGTTCAGAAGCTGGGTCACTCCTCCCTCCCTGCTACCTGCTAGGCTCCACTCTTCCTGCAGAGCAGGATGCTAGAGGGACAGTGGTAGGATGTGTGGCAGGAGTTAAAAAAAATTTAGGAAAAGTTCATTCCAGAAGAAGTGGAGCAGCACTTAGTTCTGGGGGGCATCGAGTGAAGTCCTTCCATCTGGTTTCCAGGTTATTGAGAAGGTTCAGCACGAAAGCACTCTGACAACTCTAAAATGACATGCAAATACTAGCGAGTCATTAGAAGTGTACTCATCTTCTATAAGTAGCTCAAACAGTGAACAGAAAATGAAAGCAAACTGCTGATCGATACTACTAGAATTGCCCTCAAAGTTAGTGCAACCTGATGTCTATAACTCATTAATTAATTTGGCCTGGGATTCAGGAAAAAAAAAAATCCCAGAGGCAGTTTCAAACCCTGCCAATATTGCCATTGAAGACTTCACACTTCCCTCTCCAGCACTTAAAAGTATAACTTCTCTTCTGTCTGGCAAATGCCTAATTACTTTGTGTTGCCTTTGGATCAGACTCTAATTCTTTGTTATAATTAGGTGAGCATCTAATTACATGAAAAGCAACTCAAGAGAGCTAAGCTTTCTATTCACTTTTTCAAACTGCCCTGTTCCAAAAATTACCTTTCTTCCTTCTCCTCCTCTTTCTTCTATCAAAATCCTACTTGTCAGGTGAGGTTGAGCTCCAGTGGAGTTAAGAAGGAAGCAAGCTAACTGACTGAACTAATTCCTTCAAGATTGTGGATGACCTTCTCTGACTACTTGTGGCTAGGTAGAGGCATCCGCACAAGGAAAGTGATTATAAGTGACTTTGGGTTTGCACCAGTTTCACCCTCATATGAATTGACCTAACTGATCACAGGCTTTGCCTCTGAGGAATCTGAATAAAATCAGAAAACAGGGCTGTTAGTGGAATGGAAGTTTCCAGAGTCCCTAGCTGAACTTAGTTCATAGCTGACTCATCTCTGTGAGGGATTTCTCCATTTTGTGTGTCTATACACTCATGTAGCAGGGTTCTCTGCTCATAGATGAAGACTGAGGGGGGCAATATTCACAACTGTGTGATGAGGAAGAGAAATTTTCGTTTCTATTAGTTTTGTATTGGTCTATGCAGACTGAGAATTTTTTTGTTTATGAATCTGCATTTGGTGATTACATATTAATGTTTATTTTAAGTCCATTGCCGGAGAAAAGAGCTTACATTTTATCTCTTAAAAGACATCCTGCAGGTCACCAGTGCATATTCAAAAGTAAACCAGGGGTGGGGTAGGGCAGAGTGCATAAACAAGAAATGGATCCCACACTATCCCATATAACCCCCATGAAGTCTTAGAAAGGCCTTCTTGAATAATAAAAAGGTTAAGCATCCACTCTTTAGATTATCTTGCTGTTCTGTTTATCTTTCCCTCTTTAGAGCAACTCTTAGGAGCTCTTCTCCTATTATCCACTGGACCTATTTTGTGATCCAGGAATAATGTGTGTGTTTTACTTCATTAATTCACCCTGACCACCCACAGATGAAGAACTGCTAGGGTCCAGGCGGGACTTGAGATGAGAGGTGCACACACACTAAAACTCACCAGCTTGTTATTGTTGTATTATTTATTCTCTATATAAGATATTTCTTCTGAGATGCCTAAAGTACTTTTCTACACACTAAATAAATGATTAACCCTCAGAACCCTGCTATGAGGCAAGCAGATTTGCAAAGTTGATAGGACAAGAAGGATAAAACTAAGCCCCACATGTGGAAAATAACAATTCATCACACAGGTGAGGATTGCAATGTCTGGCTCTAAAGGTGTAGTGAACAGGAAATATCAACCAGTAAATTGACTTTGTTGAATTATGACCTCTTCCTTTCTCTCCATTCCTCCCCCACACACCCATCATATCCAAAGCACTTTCACATGTCAATTAGGTTCCCTGCTATTGCACAGGTAGGAGAGCATATGCTAATGTACACATAACTGCATCTCCTAAACCTTACCATTGACCTGATGTTATTGAATTGACAATATTGTACAGGGTTTGCTTAAGCTAATGGACTGCCATAAGGCTGAAGTGATGCTTGCACTGAAGTCTAGATTATCCCACAGTCTAAGCTCTTTCTTGTGGTTCAGAATGAATTTATCTCATTTGTGAAGGAAAGCAACATCCACCTACTGTCTGTTTGGCCAAAGAAATCTCTGCTTTCTCTGAGCAAGGTATAATGAAAACATGCATTAAAAGATCATCTACGGTAAGAGCCTAGCAGAGTCACTAGTGGTCCAACCAATCATCTGTCATTTAGGATCTCAGTCATAGGTCCAGCCATCATCATCTCATGCCCGAATTTCTAAAATGGCTTTTTTTTTTTTTCAAATTAAGTTTAGATTATCCAATTACTCTGACTAATACTACCAGAGAAATGTCCTGGCACTAGGATTTCATGAGGCATTTTGCATTTAAGTAGATCTTACTTCTTTGAAATGTTTCTTGATTAATCCTACCCACCTTCCGATCCATACTTCCCACCTGCCCCATCCCTGCAATTAGAATTGACTACTGGTTTAGCAGTGGTTATTTTCTCTCTCTCTCTCTGTTTTTTTGTTTTTTGTTTTTGTTTTTGAGATAGAGTCTCGCTCTGTCACCAGGTTGGAGTGCAATGGCGTGATCTCAGCTCACTGCAACCTCCGCCTCCCTGTTCAAGCGATTAACTTGCCATTTTGTGTGACTATACATTTGCCAGCTACTCGGGAGGCTGAGCCACCACGCCAGGCTAGTTTTTGTATTTTTATTAGAGACGGGGTTTCTCCATGTCGGCCAGGGTGATCTGGAACTCCTGACCTCCGGTGATCCGCTCACCTCGGTTTCCCAAAGTGCTGGGATAACAGGCATGAGCCACCGCACCTGGCCTATTTTCTCTTAAAAGTCAACGTGGCTCCCCTCTTTCTTAGAGAGCTTTAAACTGGGCTTTACATTGATGGTATTCTGCATGTTTTCTTCAACATTGACTCAATTTACTCAATTCAATTTGCTGCATTCTGTGTGTGTGTGTGTGTGTGTGTATGTGTGTGTGTGTGTGAGAGAGAGAGACATTAGTTTACCAGTGAAATGCCAAAACAAAAGAATTAATCTTTGATCATATCACTCCCTTGCATAAAACTCTTAAGGGGTCCTATTGAATCTAGAATAAAATTTGAATCTCTGGGTCCTACATAGCTCACCAACTTTGCCGTTAGCTGTGCTTCCCTTGGAATAGTGTCTTCCAGCCATCCCCTCAGGGCTTTTGCACTATTTCTTCTGCCTGGAATGCTCCTTGCCCATTTTGACCAAGACAAATCCTTTATATATTAAGTTTCATTTTCTAAAAAAAAAAAAAAAAAAAAGAAGAAGAAGAAGAAAAGAAAGAAAAAAGAAAAGATCTCATTTCCTTAAAGGGACATTTCTTGACGGCCCAATCTTGAATTGTCCTCCCACTTATTTATTCTCATAGTACCCTGTAATTTTCCTTCACAAATGTAACAATGTATATGGTTATATTTATTACATGTATTGGTTCAATGTATGATTTCCCCAGTAGACTGTAAGTTCCATCTGGACAGAGATCTGATCTCTTTTCTAAGCATTTAACACACTGCCTGGCACACATTATCCCTCAATAAGTGAATGAATGGAAAACATAGATCTGTGATTAAGATAGATCTATATTTGATTTCTGATTTACTTCTTAGCTATGCTACCTTGAGGAAGTAATTTCATTTCTGAGTCTGTTTCCTCATCTATAAGGTAAAGTTAATAGTATCTATTTCATAGGACATTTACATTGATTTAATTAGGTAATATATAACAGATTTTAAGCACTCAATAAATGCTAGTATACTTTAGGTCAGGACTTGATTTCCAGAATTCTTGGATTGTTTTTAAAGTTTATTTTATCCATCAAAACTACTCAAATAATTATGAAAAAGTGACAGCTATTTCAAATAATTATGAAGAAGTCACAGCTATTTCAAATGCAATTTTACTATAGACTTGAAGTTATATCTGATTTATTTCTGGGTTCCACGAAATATTAGAAATGAAGTCTCGCATTTAAAAATGGGCTCTTATAGAGCCCATTATACCATTTATAATGGGTATTTAGTGAAGTAACTAATTTTGTAGATAAGAAAAGGGAGCCCAGAGAGAGCCAGGAACTTGCTTAGCGCCATGTAAGTAGTGAAAGAAAAACCAGAACTGGACTTTTATATTCTGATTTCCCACCTAATGACCTAATTACTAAGGCACATCGTCTACTTTTAATCATAGATCAAATACCACATTTAATCACACTAACGGTAATACATTTGATCCATGAGTCAACTATCACTTACAATCCCAAGATTTTTTTCTCTAGACATTTTAGTAAAAAGCATAGGCTCTAGAGAAAAAAAAATTACTCAAATCCCACTTGTGCCATTTCCAAGCTGATACTGGAAAAAATATTAATTTCTCTTAGCATCGGTTTTCTCTTATGTAAATTGTGGATAATATATTTTACTTACATAATTATTCTAATAGCTATATAAGATAGTGTCTGTGAAACACACAACAGTTCCTAGTACGTGGTAGTATTCACTAGTATAGATGACTGGGGATTGGGGTAGTGATAGTAGCAATCATGGTAGTATTTATTTTTATTTGGCTTGTATTTAGAGCTTTCTTCCTTCACCAACCAACAATAATACTTTAAAACAAATTTATCATTTTCATTTTGCATTTCTTTCTTATCTTACAAGATTAGGAGTATCTTGGATTTTTCATTATCCGCTTGACCATTTGGTTTTGCTTACAAAATTAGTCTCCCATATTTGTGGGTTCTGTATCATATTCAACCAGCCATGAATCAAAATATTAAAGAATAATAATAAAACAAAAAGATCCATATAAAAATACAGTATAATAACTACTTCCATCACGTTTACATTGTGTTTGGTATTACAAGTAATCTAGAGATGATTTAAAGTATGTGGGAGGCTATGCATAGGTTATATGCAAATACTGTGCCATTTTATATAAGGGACTTGAGCATCCTCAGATTTTGGTATCCACCAGGGATTCTGGAACCTATTCCCTATGCATACTGAGGAACAACTCTATAGCAATTTTGATACTTCTACAATTCTGAATTTTTAAAACATATATGTAAATATAAATGGATAGTACCAATAATGTGCAGAATGAAAATTATCACTCAAGTTGCCCTCACTAATAGAGTGATCAGTTTTTCTTAGACTGTCCCTATTTACTCCAGTTGCCCTGATGTAATTGCTGATCAAACTCCTTTCACCCTCAAAATGACACAGTTTCTAACAATGACAGATCCTCCTAAATATTTCATTTCTTGCTAGGGGGTCCAGAGTTGCTGACTTGATGAAGCTATAACTATAGTTTTAGTGACAATGTTTTTTAACTGCAGTTTGTTTTATAATTTTACATTTATTGATTACTTGATATGAAGGAAAGCATTCGAATAATAACAAACATCCCTTTCCTAGCAAATCACAGTGAATCCATGAATATTTAAAGTTAGAAACCATGTAAATTAAGGGACTACACAAGGATTCTTCCAAATTCAAGGGAATTCACTGGCAAGGACAGAGTTTATAAAACATGAATTGTACACAGCTTCTTAGATTCAAACCTATTAAGTAAATTAAGATGCACTTCAGTAGGGTTCTGGAACATTCAGCTCCCTGGCTTTGGGTGTGAATGTTTGCTCTGCCCCTTATTAGTTACTGTGTTTGGGGCAAGTTGGGCTTTACTTACTTTTTTTTTTCTTTTTCTTTTTTTTTTTTTTTTTTGTTTGAGATGAAGTCTCACTCTGTCACCCAGGCTGGAGTGCTGTGTCGCGATCTCAGCTCACTGCAACCTCCGCCTTCCAGATTCAAGCGATTCCGTTTCCTCAGCCTCCCTAGTAGCTGGGATTACAGGCGTGCACCACTACGCCTAGCTAATTTTTGTATTTTCAGTAGAGATGGGGTTTCACCATGTTGGCGAGGCTGGTCTCGAAGGCCTTAGCCTCCCAAAGTGCTGGGATTACAGGTGTGGGATTACAGCCACTATGCCCGGCTAGTATTTTTTTAAAAAGTTTATCTACGAATGTAAACAAAAGGAGAAAGTAGGCAATAAATCATCTGAATGAATACAAAATTGCTGATTTACGTATTTTCAACTTTCCAAAGTTCTGTTCTTTTACTTTTAATATGCCATTCCTGCTTAGGTCTGCAACTGACTTAATCTATGTAGATACAAATTAATCTAAAATTTCATATACATAAATTGTATTTAAACATATATGTGTGTTTGTGTGTATGTGTCTACACATATTTGTATGTATAAGTGTATAGACATATATCATCAGACATATTCAAAGTTTCTATCAAGAGTTCTCAAATATCCCTACTTAGCTATCTAGATAGCTGTTATGTTTCAAGTATTCCTAAATTGTATTTAGACAACTGATAATACCATATCTATAATATAAATAAATATATTTATTTATATTCCTCATATATATGTATATATATGAGGAATTATATATAGAAATAAGGTTGGAACAAGATGGATCAGGCACCATCTGTGGGTGATGCTTCTGATACCCCAGTTGTCCTTTGGCCTTTGGCCTTCCAACTTAGGACACTTATGTGTTCCTTTCTCAACAGACTAGTTAAGGATTTAATGTTTAATGTTTAATATACTAATTAATGTTTTGCATTACAATCCAATTCCATAATTTAATTGTCAGGATATTTTAAAATTTATTTTTAAGCTACTTTATTAGAATATAAATATTCTAATAAATCCAACTATTATGTTTTTATTTAAATTTTTTTCTCTAAATCTGTATTATACAACCCTTACAAAGACAGCTGCAGTATTAGAATAAAATATACTTTTTACATAAAAGAATATAAATATCCTTCTTTAACATGATGATGTAAAATTATATATTTGGATACTTGGATTCACGCTGTTCTCTCTTTCTCTAGTAGTCATTGAAATGTATTGCCATTTATTTCATCAGATAAAAGCAGAAAAAATTCAACTTTTAAATCTAAATAAGTTTCTGTCTGATTTTATTTCAGAGAATTATAAGCCGAATTATCCACTGAGATGTTAAGTAACAATTAAAATAACATCTCTAAATAAATGATGTAGAACAAATATTTTAGATCTAGAGGTTAGGTCAGTTACTTAAAAAGCAGAGAGCGTATGCTATGTTGAACAGTGCAATACAAAGAATATTAGTGAATTCAGAAGGACATTATCTATGTGTTAATAACACTCTATATTTATATGTCCACTCCTCTGGGTTTACATGTTTCAGTTTGATTCACTCTGTTTCTCATTTTCTTTCTTGGATCTCCCAAGGATGAATTCTGTAGCAATGCTCCCAGCACAATGCATCATGGTATCCATTCATCTAGCACTTTCCTAGAGTGCATTCCCTAACAATGAACACAAAGTGTCACTGTGACTACATGCTAATAGTCTAAAACTCCAAAAAACTTTGCCCAAATTTGGAATTCATTTACTTGCAAATGGGTGTTCTATTTGAAACTTCTGTGATTCATTTTCTTTAATTTAATTTGGACATGATTTGACTTTTTATTATTCTTATGTTTATTTCCTGGTCATTCATATACTCTAAGGTGGTGCTTATTTATTTTTTTTTTTTTTTTACTTTTGATGACACCAGAAAGACAAAAAGCAAAAGAACATAGGTTCTAAACACTTTAGTTTTCATGTCTGATGACATGTGAATTAATGTGCATTAAAGACAGAAACTAGTCTGGGGTTGATAATGACCTCACTGCACACATTTCGGGACCACAACACACCACATGCTATCATTGCGCTAGAAAAAGATCTTCTGCTCAGAACAGAATAAGAATGCAAATTCTTAAATACATACAAAAGGCAAATGCCTATATCCAGTGACAACGGAATCCTTGAAAACCTATCATCTTTCTCTGTCCTTAAAACACTGTTCTATATAAAATATCTGCTTGCAAGCAGCATCTGCTTCTGAATGTATTTTCCAGTAGTGTTTAAAACATTTGTTTTTGCTTTATTTTTTCTCTATTTTAATATTAATTTTCTCCATGATTTGGATATGTAAATTTCTAAAGTAAATTATCTCCAAATAGTTGGTATCATTTCAGACCCACAAGCAAGTATTCTCTTCCGAAACTTACTACAGGTGTCCAGCTCATTGAACCAATTATTTTGACCATGGATTAGTGTTTTCTGAAAAACATAAAGGCTAATTATAATATCTGTATTTATGTAGAAAAACTACAAAGAAAACACTGGGGCTTATATTTTAAGCTACTTTATGTGCTGTAACACAAGCCATGCTTGAAGCAATATTTAAACCTGTTCTTGCCTTATTTCTTCATTTATTTATCTGTGACAGTTTTCTTTATACCAATCCCTTTAGACAGTTTTCTCCAGCCTATCACTATCATTTTCTAAATTTATTATTTCCTATGATTGTTTTAATACAGTGTTTTATGGATTCCTATTGAGGTATTAGGTAACAGAAGATATGATCATGTGTTTAATTCATCTTCATCTGCTAGTCAGCATGTGATTTTGTAGAAAAGATACTAATTAATAAACATCTGATGAGACCTCCCCCATCTCTACCTTTGTACCTGTGGGTAAACTATTTAACCTTGACTTATTTATTTTTTGAAAAAATGTTCATCTGCAAGGAACAGTGTAAAAATTAGTGACAACAATAAACCTGTTTTAAAAAGTAACAGTTATTACCACCAAATGTTAAATGCTAAAATATCATTTGTAATGAAATAAGCAGGTAATTTTCAGCATAGCATGTCAGAGAAGCTCTTTTTCTTTCCTATGAATAGTTTAAAATATATACCTGGAGCTTAGTTTGACTTTTCAGGAACCATGTGTGATTTTTTTAGAATGTACTTAAATTTTCAGAGGATTTATAGAAACTCAGTGGCTACTGTTTTAGGTGTGAATTTCTGATGTCTGGGTATATGGTAAATAGAATGTCATAAGAATTTAGATACCTTATTTGGAAGACTGGAATTTTGATTTTTGAGAAGGATGATATATAACTTCATTCCTTTATTCTATAAATATTCATTAACTATTTTTATGTACAAATGTTGTGCTAAGGCCTACAAGCACAAAAACTCAACTTAAGTGCTCTCATAAGCTTATAGATCTGCAAGAAGAAACAAATACATAAGAAAACGCTATAGGTACTGTTGCAGAATCTACAGTAGGACGGTGGGGATATGAGTGTGTGGTTGCCTCCAACATAGCGTAAATGCTTCCTCAGATTCTCTCAACCTCATTTATCTCCTAGACCTTGGACAGTTGCCCAACATAGCTGACATCAAGGTCACAGACTATCTGTGGGTTTATAGATCCTGGTGACAGATAGTTTACTGCAAGCCTGGTCCACAGGCTTTGGCTCTTCCAAACAATTTTGGACTAGACAAAGCCCCACACCACTTCCAAAGGGGGCCAAGTGATACAACAATAAAACTCAGGGAAGTAGACAGCTCATGAGGCAAACAGACCAATGGGAGACAGGCCTAGAATAATACACTAGATAAATTCCTTGTAGAGGACTGTTCTGAGTGGTGGCTTTTCCACGCATCCTGTCTGGAAACCTCCTGAAGCATTGTCTGGCCAGCACCATAACACATCACCTTGCATTTGCTTCCATCCCTCTCTGATTCATTTCCTTTTCCCTCACCTTTGCCTAGAAATGTCATTTCCCTATAAAGGATTGGCAATGTAGTCTTGCCTCACTCTCTGCTATTTAGGATAGGCTAAAACAGTGGTTAATTTGATTTGCATGGGTAAGGACAGGGGTAGATTAGGAGGTGGAAGGTATTGATCAACAAAGATTGCAAAAGGATGTGAAGGCTACTTAAAATATGCAAAGAACTTTTTTAAATACTTATCTAAGCTCTCAGAAGTCTTTTACCCATTATAAGTTACAACTTTGATCAGGAGAGACAGAAAAATCTAAAAGTGAGAAAATAGTTTAAGTCCATTAGTTTATCACCCCAGAGATACTACTACTCCACCCTGAGCTTAATTACATGTAACATTTTCCCCTGGAAGCATATTCAGTGATCTCCAATCCTTTCACCATATGACTTATTACATTTTGAGAGTATTATCAATGTCTATCTTTCATCAAATTCTGCAACTTAATTTTTAATCTGGGTTTTGCGCTAGCCCAGCATTCAGAGACTACTAACACAGTTTAATAATTGTGGAAATACAACACATAAATTTACAAAAATGTCTATATTTCTGACCCTTCTGGCCCTTCAACTTCAAGCTTTACCTCTTCTAATATATTCTAAATACTGCTGACCAATGAGTTTTCCAATCTCCTCATCTGACTTCTCTCATTTTCTTCAAAATTTTCCCTAAACTTCTTGCTCTTTATAGTAAATACAAATCATTCACATGAAGTTTGAAGTTTCTTTCCCGCACCCTTCCTTGTATGTTTCAAGTATTATGTCTGTTTGCATTGCTTCAGTGCCCTATTGATTCTGGAGCCAGCTCGCTGTTTTATGCTATTAAGGCATTTCCTTCACTTCAGTCAACAACCCATCCTTCCTTAAGCAGTAAGACACAACAAGAACGAAAGTACTTTCACCCCTTTATAAGCTTCCCTACATCAAAACCAGCACAAATAAAATGTCTAGTTCCCCAAAGGGAACATGGCAATTGCCTCACCTCCAACATTCTTTTAAGAATACACCCATTCCACATGAGAGAAATGTGTTTGGCTCCAAACCGGAATTCAGAGTCTGTACTGGTGAAGTACAAAGTTGTCCTATTTCTGGACAAAATAAATTCATTGATCAAAGCAGCAATTCACTCTGTTCTTCCAAATATGGTTCTCGTTTCCATTTAGAGTAGCCATAACATTTATTATTTTATTGTAAAATGTTATTACTTTTCATTCTTAAACATGTAAGCCAGTATACTTTTGAGAATAAAACAAGCTACAGGTAGTAGGTATAAACCAGAACTGTTTCAGACAACTAGGGATGAGCAATGTTATGAGTCTTCATTTTAAATGATGGAGATCAAGGAATTACTCCTTGAAATCTTTGTAGTTTTCAGACGCTTGGTCAAGGTTACTAGTTTTAAGGATTTCAGATGAAAAAATAAATGAAGACATGCAAATGAAACCTGAACATAGTGCTAAAGAGTGAAGACACTGTTTTTATTGCATCCTGGCTCTGCTTGCTATGTGAGCTTGGGCAAGTCGTTTAATCTCTCTGTATCTCAGTTTTCTGTAAAGTGGGACTAAATATGGTGTCTGTCTCATAGTGCTGTGGGGGTTAAATGAGTTAAGCACTTAAAACAATTTCTTGCATATAGCACTATGTAAGAGCTAGCTACTACCATTACTAATAGAGCTAGTTCTTATACAGTGCTATATATAACAGTTCCTTGCATATTCCACTATATAAGAGCTAGCTCTACTAGTAATGGTAGTGAATATGCAAGGAATTGTTATATATAGCACTATATAAGAGCTAGCTTATATACTAACTCTATATTGCTGGCTACTACTATCATTTACATGCAAGGAATAGGCAAGGAATTGTTATATATAGCACTATGTAAGAGCTAGCTGCTACAATTATCTATGCAATATAATTCCTTGAATATCCCTAGCTGCTAGTAATAGTACTGGTAGAGGTAGCAGCAGTATTACCTGGCTTGAGGAGAGCACAGAAAAGGGGCCCTGCCAATGGTTCTGGATACTCAGATTTCCATGACAGTGGCTGATAAACTAAATGGCAAACCTCACATGACTTTCTACTTTTGCATATGACATAAGGAATATCAAAGATTAACATATGAGCTCCTTCTGATATTTACATAAAAAAATGAAGAATGCAAAGGAGTTTGTGGGCTGGACAGAGGCTTGCTTTATTCCACTCTTAACTTTTGTCAGAGTAGGAAATGGAAATTATCCAGGTGTTTTCTTGCATTGCATTTATGGGGTGTTTCAGAAAATAGTGTGAACAAAGAAAGAGAAACTGTGGACTTGAGAGAAGAAAAACAGAAGCCTGGGGGAGAAAATAAGACACAAAGGTTCACTAAGATGTGAAAGAATCCACCTACTAAAGCTACTCTCCTCATGATAAAATCAAGCAGGCATGTCTTTGCTGCGATGAATGCTCTGATTTCTTTCTTGCTGAGTAGTTAAGTGGGCTCAGATGTGGGAAATTTCTTCTCATTTTGGCCCTTTTATGGCCACAATGAACCGTCAACACTGCCAGGGAAACCATTCTCTTCCAATTTCAGAAGGCTGACCTTGTGAGGTTACCACTGTCTGTCCACGGGGCAAGCTTCTCCCAGAGCTCCAGGGAAGGCCTTGGCTGGCTAGCAGTGGAAAAACAACTACAAAAGACACTTTCAAAAACCCCACACATTTCTCAAGCCATCAAGAGTCCCAAACCCTCTTGCCTACGGGGGTACAAGCTTAGTTTTATTATCATATCTGACATCAATCCAGAAGAATCGGAAGACAACTGTATGAAAAGCAAAAACAATTTACAGCCATAAATACTTCTGATGAAGAGTAACTATACTAGATGACTCCAGCAATCTGGAGGGGAATGTGAGCCTCTAACTTCTCTCCATTGTTCATGAGGCACTGTCATCATGCCAGGTTTATTAATTTTCACAACCAAAATTACCATTGCATTTTTTTCTCCATCTATATCCTGTGGGTTCAGGAGGAAACAATGGACTCCAACATTCTAGGCTAGGTGAAGGCTTCCGTTTATTGGGATGGAGTGATGCCTCTTAATTGATTAAGCATCAGTAATATATTTGTTGAATGTTCTTAAAGAAATTAGGGTAAAATTGCAGCCAAATTATGTGGGATGGTTATACTTTTGAAAAGACATCAGATATGAATTTTAAAATATTCAAGAAAGGCATTTCAACTTAGCATCAATTAATGAGCATGCTGTTTTTAGGACACCATGAAGCATGGATCATAGATGCCAGCTAGCACCTCCAGGTCTTTGGTCTGCCTTTCTATTTCCATGGAAGGCAATAGAACAGAGAACTTCGATCTCGCCAGTCTGAGACTCAGAAGGACGAGATAAGACAACGCTCTCTTCTGCTTCCAGATCAGTGCTCTTTATACAACACCAAGATGTTCCATTAATAAAAAAGGTAGTCTTATATCCTTTATTTAAAATGATGTGTTTAAAAAGGCAACTTTGCTCTCTTACTTACTGTAATAAAATCAATAAATTAGCTTGTTAGAGAATACACATTCAAGGACAGGAACTGAGTGGAAAAGGGAGAAATATAGTTGGGTGACAAATTATATAATGACACTATGTTCCCCCCACCTCTTCCTGCACTCATTTCTCTAATCATTGCCCTCATCCTGGCCTGTGTTGCCTGAGATATGACACATCCTCTGGAATTAGTTTTCTCTCTCTCCTTCCCCATTAGCCAAGCCAGCATCTTCTCAAGGCTCTGCTCCAGTCTGAAGAAATGCATTCTTCATGCCTTAAACAATTCTCCCTAAAATGAAAATTTAGATGTTAAAATATATGTAAGGAAATGAGTTGTATTTTAAAATATTTCTATGTTTGGAAAAATTGTTGATAGTTTGATTTTTTTATGGTTGATCTTTTGAGCATTTAAAATATGTATCTGGGGAATTTAAAATGTGTCCCAGTTCCTTTATAGGTATTGAGTTGTACTTGCACTTGAGGAAGGTTCCTACCAGAGCAGAGTGTATTGCACCAACTCTATAACTCATTTTATAACATGGAGCTGCTGATTGCAATGAAAAAAAAAAAACTTTAAAGTAAAAGGACTGAGATAAAAGCAAGGAATTAACTAGACCATGACTCCAGACCTATTTTTCCTTCCATGTTGTTATGTGAACTGAAATTTGGAATGAAGAATGCAAATGTGTAGGTTTACATATTCCCAGGAAGGATGTGACCACTGAAATATTAGGATTAAAACTGGGATACTTCCAGTGACATAGTAAGTGTTCAGGTGCCTTAAATATAAAGAATTCTATGGATGTAGATAATTGTAGGGGTGAGGAAGTGAGAGGATGAAAGAAAGGATGGGAGGCCTGTAAGCCAGGAAGAAAGGATGCAGTGGGAGTGGGTTCTTGCGATATCAGGGGCAGAATTTATCATGGAGACTTCTCAATGACCTGGAGCTAGACCTGATCCAATAAACATGGAATGTCTTGGACCTGATCCAGTAAATATGAAACTTTGCTATAGCAATAACTCAACATGAGTCATCAATGAAAGATGCTAACCTTGAAATACCTTTCAAAAATACAATTTATTATTTTGAAGTGTTCAGAGGCTGCCAATATCAGTTTGTCTATGAATGCCCACTGCATTTATATTGTGCAGTAAGAGCAATCATCTCTTAATACTATAATAAAATGTTGACAACGTAAAAAGTAAATACACTCCAAAATGAACTGCTCTAGTCTTACTTGGAAGGTGTGCTTTTTATAATGGATACCATAATGAAAAATTCCTTGTTAAATTTATTGTAGCTTTTAATAAGCTGGCTCTCCAAATATGAAAAGTCTGTGTTGATACACTGAGGTTGTATGACTCGGAAAATAAAGGGAGTGCATTTTTAATTCTGAAAGATAATAAGATATTTAGGTCATTTTTTATTTTAAAACGTGCTTGTTCTAACATTCATAAAAATAAGCAGACAAACCTGCCAGCATCTGTTCCTCTTATACAAAGAACTACCTATAATGAAATTTTGGTCATACTATTACAAGATTTTAGCATGAAAGTGGAGAAATCCAAGGCAGAATTATGACAAACTCACTGTAAACCTTCCTCAGTAATACTGGTATGACTGAAATCTTAACGACATTTAATGTGCCTGTAATCCTGAACATTTGACAGCTTTTACATAATATTCTAGGCAAAGGTGACCTGATCCTCCTCCACTATTGACAGTACAGCTGAAATGGCCCTCCAATAAATGAGGCAGGCTTATCTAGCCAAGATGGCAAACAATAGCTTATAATATGCCCCAGGAAATTTCCATAGCACATTGGATCATTGCCTTCAATGACACATGGATCATGCCTGAATACAAAGCACACGTTTCACTAGACAATAAGTTTTAAAGGACAAGAATATGCAAAGCACTTCAGATTTAAAGACCAGTTATGTGTTTCACACTTAGAAGTATAGAGAGTTTCATTGAAGAAAGCTCTAAGAGTCTTTTAGTGTTATGTTATCATGTGTCATCTCCCTTAGTTGTCTTCTAATGACTGGAATGAGCCTCCAGTTTAGAAATCATAGAAGAGCCGGGTGTGGTGGCTCACGCCTGTAATCCTACCACTTTGGGAGGTCGAGGTGTGAGGATTGCCTGAGCTCAGGAGTTTGAGACCAGCCTGGGAAACACGGTGAAACCCCGGCTTTACTAAAATACAATAAACTAGCTGGGCATGGTAGCATGTGCCTGTAGTCCCAGCTACTCGGGAGGCTGAGGCAAGAGAATTTCTTAACTAGGGAGGCGGAGGTTATGCTGAGCTGAGATTGTGCCACTGCACTCCAGCCTGGGTGACAGAGCAGGACTCCGTCTCCAAAAAAAAAAAAAAAAAAAAAAAGGGAAAATCGTAGAAGAACACAAGGAACCTACTAAATATGAATTGTAAGAAAATAATGAAAATAAACAAGCACCAAGAAGGTGTATGTGAGATTACAAAAATTGTGCAGGACTTCTGCAATATGTTTAAGATATCTGCATTGATGTACCACATAACGAATGCTACTTTTGTTTCTCAATTTATGGGAAAATAATTGAAGAAGTGCTTGGGTGCTTTTTGTCAATTCATAGCCTACAAGTCACCTGTTGTAAATTCAGTTTATAATAGTGTAATTAGCTACCACATGGCCAGATTTTCTAAATGCTCTTCCTCCTGTTGGAAGCTTGACAATGTGACTGCTGCAGAATATCAATACCAATCTTTTACAGGCTTTTGCCAGAACAGCCTCAGGATATGTTGAGCTGGAGAGGTAACTGCATTAGAGAATTGAGTTTGTTCTTTTTCAAAAGACAAATATAGTATCTTTGAAACTACTTACAAGGAAATAAATAGGTGTTAAATACTAGTGTATGACATCAAACTAAACTTGTTAGTAATAGGAATAACCTGGCATTGTAAAAGATATAGGACCTTTAAACTCAGAAGGTGAATGGTACCTAAGAGAAGGAAATCCAGCATACGTTATAGACAAAGTACTAAGAGAAATAAAATCTGGGAGAAAAAAAGTGTAGCTTAGAACACTTCACTATTAAGCAGAGTGTTGTCATATATGATAACAACAGCTAAATAATTGCAGATGTGTTTGTAATTTCTTAGATGAGTAAGAATATGAACACAGTTTTTGGAAATATTGTAGAACACAGCAGAATGCAGCTGAGCCTAGAAATAAAAGTTGCAAGAATAGCTGCCAGAAAAAAACATTAACTGCCTTGTTTGACACTCAAAAACTCACGGTATGCTTTCATTGAGAAAGAGTTTAGTTGATATGGAAAAGCTAGTTTGTTTGGTTATTTTTAGCAAAACACTTTAACTTCTGATACATACGTAGATACACTACAAGATTTTTCAACCTGGTCATGTCATAATGGACATGTCACAGTGGACATGTTAAATTAAGAAACACTTTATAAAAAATTGTGAATAATCCTTAGGAAATCAGTGAAAGCCACTTTATAAAAAAACTGCAGAAACACATAATTTATGAACAAATTTTACTTTATGTCAAAATGAATAGATTTATTTTTATGAATATCACACAGACATATAAAGCTGTTATTGTTGTGAGCAGAATTTTAAGAATTGTAGGTGCTTGGCAGTTATTGGAAAACTGTGCATCTCTAGTTCCCTTTCTAACTTACTTCCTCCAATTTTCTCCAGCACTTATGAGTTGGCAGCTCTCAGCTACATATAGGGCATGATTCACCAGGGACATACTCCAGATGGCATTGAGCTACTCCTGCAGCAATTGTATCCACAGTCTGGCTGCCTTATCCATCAGCTGTGTATGACTAGGGCTTGGCTCTTAACTCTGACAATACTGACGCTATTGCAGAAGTGACAAAATGAAATAGGCTACTGAAAACATCTATCTCCTCACAAAGTGGAGGTCTTTGCTTTTTTGTTTGTTTGTTTTTTGCTACTTTTTGAAGAAGGGTGTCTACTAGATTGTTGTAAATGCTTTTATAAGAGCTATAAGGACATTTGGAAAGGGAATCCTCAGATATCTAATGAGCAGTACCATAAGGAGTCATTCTCTTTGATGCAATATTTTGTGCTGTCATATGAAGAAATATAGAAGACAACATAATTATAAAAAACAATAATCGCGATTTTTGGGGGGGCCCACTATTTCCTAAGCACTTAACTGAACAAGTGATATGCTTTTCAATTATTTTTCCAATATTAGGAATTATGGTTCAATGAAGTAAACTAACTTGTCCATAGTCTTGGAGATTACAATATGAACAAGTAGAATAAGGTCCTGATATATTTTTAAATATCTCATCAAAAAAGGACACAAACATTATTTTTGAAAATAAACACGTAGCAAATCAATAAATCAAGATACTGATGTAACTAGGGAACTTATATGACCATGTGAAAATATATTTTTCTCTTTTTAATCATGTGCATTCTGGGATATATGAAAGGATTGGGAAAAATAAAATTCATTATATTTTACTCACAAAAGTGAAATATTGATGTGAAGTTCTCACTACAGAGTAATTGTCATTGTTCTATTTAGAATTCTCTTTGCCTATTCATGCAGTAATTATGGAAAACAGACCCACACTGTTGGTCTTCTGATAGATAACATCCAGATTGGCTCAAATTTTCCTCATTTGTGGCCTTGCTTCTAAAAATATGTTGACAGAATCCCAGCTATCTCTTCTAGTAAATGTACTTTTGTAACTAGTTGAGTGTATATTTTTCTATTGATTATATACATATAGATATACCCATTTATTCTTTTCTAGGCTGAATTATTTTTATTAAAGTAATACCTGTATTGGTTAAAAAGTCAAGTATTTCTCCAAGGTTTATAATAAATGAAACAGCTTCTCTCACACAACTTCTCCTCACCTCAGTGATTTGCCAACAGAAGCAGCCATTTCTAACTCTTTTAGCTGTTTTCTTCTGATATTTACTTCCATATTTCTGAATGGTTAGGGAGTCACTGCTTGATTTTTAAGTTTTTGACATCATATATCTTGTCTTCACTATGAAAGATGAAACTGTAGCTATTTACCTTGCCTCAGTTCTTCCTATCAACTATATCACAGGTTTTAATTAAATCAGAATTGTTTATATTATTATACAAATATTATTCAAATATTGTTTGAGGCTGAGTATATTTCTAGTCTAGTACACATTTTTCTAGAAGTAATAATAGCCTAATCTTTTCTTTTGTTTATTTTTCTGTGTACCTCTAACGAATCATTCCTTATATTCTCCCATAAAACTTTAAAATTTGTCTTCCTATCATCAGACACATCTAAAACCACTTATCACTTCCATTGTTTTTTGAAATTTTCTATTCTCTGCACCCTTCTGCCACACATTCAAAACACAAACCTACACAACTGTTGTCTAATATTTAATATTAACTATCAAATTATAAATATATTGTTAATTCAATGTAATACTCAAAGCATGGTAGCATCAGCACAAAATCTATGCTTGATACAAACCCAGTCTTTGAGGAGCTTACCTTCTAAGAGAAGATGACATTCATAACATGGATATAATTTACCAAGGCAATTCAGAGCAGTGAAAAAAACTGATACAACACTACCGCTTGTTTTGCTAACTCATTTTGAGATCCTGTTCAAACAGTTGCACTCTCTCTAGGATTTTGATGTACCACAAGAAGTAATCTCCCCAGTGTCTTTCAACCCCAAAACTATTTGCTTCTTCAACTATGAATGAGTCTGCGAATAATACACAATGATACAAACACATAGCATTTACCCAATAATACTCATATTTAACAAATTAATAGTAACTCTTTAGCTTTTTAAACTGTGCTGGATCAAAACAAGTGAGATATTTTCCCTCACCTTTGCACTGACCAAGAAGTTACAGGATAGCTCTCAGATGAGAAATGGTTTCTCATGGGTAATTCACGTGTGAACTATTTGAAAACAGGGAATATGGGCTTATCCACCTCTTCACCTCCAGCTACTGCTATAGCAGGAAAGCTCTCATAAATGTCTGTAAAAATGAATTGAGTGAATTTTTGTAAAATCTGTGTTGAATTGTTGAGATGTAGTAAGTGAGGTTATCATAAGGGATATGTGTGAGGTTCTTTCTAATTCAACATTTTTATTAATGTGTTGAGGGAAGATGCAGATCTCAAAACATACTCATAAAATTTTAAGATGATCCTACCTTGGGGGGAGTATCAAACACCAGGGACACCAGAAATATAATCCAAAGAAGTTAGAACTGTCTACATAAAAAGAAAACTTGGCCTTCAAAAATGTAAATGACTACATGAGTAAAAAGTGGTATAAATTCTTTCCAGGCAGGGGAATAAAAGAAATCTGGAGTCTAAGGGTGATAATAATTTGCAAATTAGATCTGTGTTTAATGTGGAATCACTGTAAACAGAGGAAGAGCTGCTTTGGCCTGAATTTAGGGAGCTTTGTGTAATAAATGGGCCAGAAAATTAGTTGCCTTCTCTGTGTGATGTTGAAAATTCTCTAGATTTAAAGTGCTTTAATTTTAACTAAAGTCATTAGAAATTAGAGTTAAAATATGAATTTGGAAAGGAACCCCACAAATATGAGTGTTAATAAAACAAATTTCTAATAATAGTTTTTATAGAGTGGGTACCTCTTATTAATTCCTTAGATACTTTACTGGCACAAATACCGTAAGTATCACTGACTATACCCCCTATATTATCTGTTTAAATTGTCAGAACTACCTTTCAAGTGAATATTTCCCCCGTTCAACCAATGATGAGACATTCAAAGACTTCAAATAATTTGTTTGTCAATCTAACCTGCCAACATCAAAGTCATCTTGCTTCCAAATTTTATACTTAGGTGAGAACAAAGAAAGTAAGACTGTATCATTTAGCTAAGCATGTCTGAAGATATTTTCTTTAACCAGCATGAACTATGCATTGTATGAAAGGAAATATATCATGAAATTGTATTATGTGTTATGCTATAATATACATCTGCCCTAGACAGAGGAACCCTCTCACCCTGAACCACACTGTTAAGATGCGATTTAAGAACATTCACTCCCATTAGTCTATTTTCCCATCTCAAAGGCAAAAGACTTCTCTATTTACTTGCACTACTGAGATGTGAGGGGAAAGGGCATAGGACATTGGCTCCAGCATCAAACTGATGTCACATTCATTTATGTTCCTCTACTTGTTGGCTGGAGGAATACACATGTATGACTATACACAGATTGATCTGCCTTTTGGGGTGCATTTTCCTCAACAAAATGGGTTTGATATCACCTATCTCTTAAAGTGGCTGATGATAGTGAAATGAGATAATGCCTGAGACATACAGCTTACCAATTGGGAGTTATTATTGATTGAGTGATGAGCATTATACGTATTCCCACAGGGTAATATCAGTGGTTCCATCTGGAAAAGCAGATCAAGAGTTTCATAGGCAGTATGGCAATGAGGCCAGGCATTCCTCCACTGCATAGTCCACACTGCATGGCTCATCTTTGCTTCTTTTCTCTTTGTCCCTTTTCTCTCCTTCATTCTGTACTTGCCTCTACCCCCTCACACTTTTGAATATTTATATGTGATTCTTCCCACTCATTCACACTTCTTGCTCATTAAGACAAGGAAAAATGCCTTATTCAACTTTGTATCCCCTAATATCAACAGAGTGCTTTACCAGCAGTAAGAGTTAGACTACTGCCTGATAAATAAATGAAATCAGGATGCTCCTTTAAATAACAACAGCAACAAAACACTCAGTTTTAGAAAATAAAAACTAATAAATAATGGCATAAATTCTATTCCTTTGTTTCATATTTATGTTTTATGTTTAAGAATCAAGGCAGTAATTGATATATTACTATGTTGATTACTTTTAACCCAGAATGAAATCTTCAATAATTTAATAAAGAATGCATACAAGGCAAAAAAGTAAAGTTTAACAGCTATTGAATTTTATTAAGCCTTAGGCAAAAATCTCATTCAGATCAAAGGAATTTTTTGTGAAGGAAGAAAAAGGTACAAAGAAGATGCTTTGAGAAGCACTGGTAAAGCCTGAAGCTATCCAAAACAGCTTACTGTCTTTTAAGACATTATCCCAATTTGTAACATAGCACACATAAAATTCACTCATACCTGAAATCGAGAGCTCTTAGCATCTTTATTTGCTTTTCTTCTGTTTTTGTGGCCCTACATATGATTTTCTTTGCAATACAATGAGTGAAATGTCTTTATTGAATATTGGGATCCAACAATGGAAGAGGAGAGAAATACAGTTTATGGTAAGACATGAAGTGAGTGTAGAAATATGTGAACATGTACACACATAATCACACCCACACAGTTTAACGCACTTTCTTTAGGTCAAATTGTTCACTCTCTGTTTTGATGCAGTTGATTGAACTGGCCTTTACATTATGATAATGAAATCCATTTCATGACACACTAATACTCCAATATTAAAATAATAGTCATGACATGTGAATCTCGTAATCATCAGAATGTTCTTTGCAAAGATCAGAAAATGAGATGGCTTCAAGGGACAATAACTAATATTAGCATATACTGTTTGTTACACTTGGATGGTTTGGAAGATTTGGGGTCAAGAGGTGTGTTGTGAGAAAAATGTGTTAAATGCACGTACACAAGATAAAACAAACTGAAACGTGTTTGAGACCCTGGTTTTATTCTACTATTTTTACTTTTTCATAGTTCTTTCTTTTCTGGATTTCATCAAATATAAATTTTCATTGGTTAATTATAAAATGACTTTGTCCTATAGGCCAAGACAGAATGAAACCATTTAGAAAAGCATTTAAGAAGTCAGTTTTTACTGACCATCCATCTAAAAGTAGTAACAAAGCTGGTGAATAAAGAGGGTGGGTTTTTTTTTTCTAATTTGGGTGAATTGTGGAATTATTTTTTATTTAGGCTATTATTAGTATTATATAAATTTAGTTTAAAATAAGAAAGAGAGAGAGAGAGAGAGAGAGTAAGAATAAAAAGAAGAGGAAGAAAGAGAAAAGAGGTGATATAAGCCCAAATTCTCACCTCAGCTCTTCTTATAAGACTGCCCTTAATCTACATTATTTTTAACAATCCTACTTTCAGACACTACATTCTAGAAACTAGCTCAAATCTTTCCTACTATAATTTTGGTATACTTAAAATTATCTATAATTAAATTATAAAGTGTGAGACACATAGATTATCTGAAAAAGGAAACATTTGGAGCAATGGAGCTACTTTTAGGAATAACATCATGTTTTCTTGATAAATGTTAACAAAAAATCTTAATATTCTGATGAGATATACAAAGATGGAGCAATTTATTTCTAGAAACAATTTTCAATAGTTAAAGTAGAAAATGGTCAGTGTGGCAGAGCCAGTAGTCTTACCACCATTATATAAATATTAATATATACAGCAGTTCTGTATTTATTTTTGCTTATTGATATGTGGCAAATTTGTCAGTGACTCTCTAATCTTCTACTCGAGGTAAGCATTAAATATAGTTAGCTCTAACAGAGAATATAGTTTCTCTTCACTCATACATTCATTTGTGCATTCATTAATGCCTTCATATACGTATGCATTCATAACAGATATTTTTTGATATCTCTTATTTGCATGACGCATCTCAGTGATGGGAAGATTTTTAAATAATTAAGTCAAGGTTTGCAAGAGCGCATCTCTCTTACAAACTCCTGACAGGAAAACCTGCACAGGTAGATAGTGAGGTTCTAAAACCCAAGGCTTAGTGAATTTCTTATATAGACATCAGGAAATGTTATACCACAGAAAAATGCTACTGGGGATAGCCAAGCTTACCATGGGAAGTGTTTCTGGGCATGTTGATATTCCTTCTCTTTAGGCTATATGAATGCCTGCTTCAAGGCTAGAAACTAAAGTCACACTGCAGTTGGCCCATATGCTTCTCTTAATTTCTTGCCCCAACTTGCCAAGAACTCTGCCTCACCACTGATTTCCTTGGTTTCCAGCTCATTTCCCTTGGCTCACTCTCTTGGACTTAACAGTTGGTGCTATCTCTCAAGCCATTATCATTGCTTCTTTCCTGGACTTCAGTTCAAATTTCACTCTGGCTACTCTCTTCTTCCCTGACCTACCTGATCCCTGCATTCCTCAATCTCATCACATCCCCATGTAAGTAATGCCCCAACTAATTCCATGCCCCTAGAAGTGACACTCAATCACCCAAGACTCTAGTGAAAATATAAAGGAAAAAAGAGACTAGATACCAATCAATAAATAACCCTTATTATATAATGATTGAAATAAAGCAGCAAGCATAGAATTTGTCCTTATATCTTTTTCTTGCTAATTGATTATTTAAGTTTTAAATTCCCAGAAACTATTTTCTAGATTTGATTGATTGACTCCTTGCCCTCCACATTCTCTTAGTAAGGTGTTGAGCGTTTGTTCTGCAATTTAAATGGGAATTTTATTTATAAATTGCTCGTACTTAGATAGAGTCCTAGAGATAGCTCAGATTGGGAGACTGCATTTTTATCAAAGATCAGAAAAAATTTCCAGGTTGTCTAAAGTAAGACAAATTATTATCATCTTTCATATGCTCTGAATCTAAAAGTCACTTTACAAACACTATCTATATATTAACATATAAAATACAGCCCTTTTAGAGTACTCTGCTCAATATAGATTTTTATATCTTCTCTCCCCTTAAGGATCTCAGAATTTTACAGGAAGAGAGTCAATTAGATAAATAAAACAAAGAAACATTTCCAGTGACTTTATTCCAAGCTCTCATGAATTCCCGATTTATTAATAGCTGTAGCTGTCATAGCTTAAAAATCCATTAGAATTAGGCTTATTTGCATGTGACGTAAAGCGCAAAATAACTGTAGCTTATTTTACAAAATAGAAGGTTGTTTTCTTTCTCACATAATAAAGCCCAGAGTTACAGTGCAGGACAGGTATGGTGGCTCCAAAGTGTCAGGGTTTTAGGTTCTTCGTTCTTGCCTTTTCACCCTGTTATCAAAGGGCCACAGTTCTCAGAGTGATCTCACAGTGTAAAAGGTCTGCTCTCCTGATTTCATCTGCACTCAAGGTAGCAGGAAGGAAAAAGAACCATAGACGGTTGGCCATTTCCCCTTAAAATGCCCACACCTTTGCTTGCTTCTCATTGGCTAAAACCCAGCCCCATGGCCACGCCCTCTGGTGCGTGTGAAGCCTGGCAAATGACAGGGCGATTTGCTGCCCTGAAATAAATCTGTTTTCCCTACCTTTACTGAGAAGAGGGATGAATGCGGGAGTGAGTAACCAGAAATCTGTGCCCCAGTGGCTGCTCTTTCATAGCGTTTTCCTTCTGTTATAGAACAGTACAGCAAGTCCTATGTCACAACTTCACAGAAATCAGAGCAGTCACAAGCCACGTAGCCCAAATCCCTCAACTTCCTATTGATGGGAAAAGGCTAAGGCCATCAGACCAAAGAAGAAGTTGGTCTTTATTAAGTAAAAAATAACCAGGTGTCACTAACAAGCCGCTTTTGAGCAAATTTAATAAAAGGCTTCCTGCTTCTGTGCAGACAGAACCCTGCCCAGGACACTGGTTTAGTGAGACTGGAGGACAGAGAACCTGCACCACCTGTTGGATTCTTGAGAGGAGGACCGGATTTTATTTGCCTTTGCACTTGTCAACATTACTTTACCATAACTTTGGACACAATTGATAGTCAGCATATATTTGTTGGCTAAATGGATAATCAAATCATCCTGTAACTACTACTAGTCATGAGGACACTAAGAAAGTGTAAGAGATGTAATTACTTCTCCAGCCCAAATTAGATCTCATTCCCCACTTCCCTATCACCTGAATCCACCCAGCTGTACAAGAAACCCAACAGTTGTCCTTCATATTGCCTCTCCCTCGTGGAGAATCAATCCATCACCTAACTGGTAGATTTTACTTCATAGATAGCTCTCAAATCCATAGATTTTTCCTTCTCTGTACTATTATCACCACCAAATCCAGTTACAATTACAATTGTTTCTCTCTTGGTCACAGTAGTCTCTTAACTGTTTGTTGTGTTACCCCTACTCTGCCTCCTCTCCTACTTCCCACCTCCTCTCTTTCTCATACGTTTTCCCCACTGCCCTTCAATGTCATGTAATGCTCTTTGTGGCCTGGGATGCTCCTACCATCTTGAACTTTCCCCCACCACATTCCCCCTTGCTCTCTTTAGTCTCTGGCTTTTCTTCAGACCTTTATATTCAATGTGGTTTATCCCACGACAGGATCTTTGCATATACTGTTCTCTATGCCTCGAATATTCTTTCTTTCCTATTTTGCCTGATAACTGTCATTCATTCTTTATTTCTCAGATCAGGCTATATTTTCCTCAAACAGGCTTTTCTGACTCCCTCAATGAAGCAAAATCTTAATATATACTCTCACAATTCTATGTAGTGCTCTTATATAGCACTTATCACTGTGACAATTTTATATTTGTTTGTGTGGTTGTTTGATTCATATCCGTTACATTCAAAGGACCTTAAGCCCTGTAAGAGTGGAGATTATGCTTTCTCACACTCACCCTTGCAAGCCTGTCCCAATAAGTGCTCAATAAATACATGCTGAGTGAAGGAAGAAAGGAAAGAAGGGAATATTATATCTATCTATGTTTTTGCTGTACTACCTATCACAATGCTTTGAACGGAGAAAGTTCACAATGGTTTTTGAATGTAAGGACGGTACTATTATATTAAAAAATAAAGCTGTCAGATTGAAGTTAGGAAACCAAATTTATTCCACTGTTCCAGACATATCACTAAACCTGCTGAGCTGTCCATTTTGGAATAGTTCTGATTCAGTGAACTAGTTTAGTATTAGCAGAGTGGCATCTTAGCGCCAGAACGTCTGTTCTTGCTTTCTTGGTTTGCTCCTGACATGCTGCTCATTACATAAGTTAACTACTGAAAATTTATGTCAACCTTTCAAAAAGTGGATTCATTGTCCTAGATTTGTAGCTCAGAAGATGTGGAGATAGTCTAATACCTCATTAAGATTCAGGACCACTGTCAGTGAAAAGAAAAAAAAAATGTACTGAAAAGAAAGGAGTCTGCAGACCATGCAGGTGAATGAAAAGAGTTGAAGAAAGAGCTTTGTAGGCTTCAAGGAAGGAGGAAAAAAATGTTAGCAGCTCTGTTCTTGATGCAATATACCTCTAGGTCTCTGAATTGCCTCAGATCACTATCCAGATCTGAAGCTTTCAGACTGCTCTGTAGATGTATACAGAAAAGAAGGTTTTCTCTACAATACCTAACACATTGTAAGATGTTGGACATGGTAAGTTCAAGATGGTTTTTGAATGCAAAGGACGTAGAGACCAGACCCTTGGGTAGCTAAGATGTGTAGCATGATTTATCAATGCTTTTGAACCTCTTAGTAACTGCTTGAGCAAAGTAAGAAGGAGATTATGCTCCATTTTTTTATATGGCTTGCCCAAGATCAGATTCACAAGTTTCCTCGCTTTCTGCCTCCCGGTTGAGTCACTCTTCTGCTACCTTTCACAGTGTCTGTCTTAGACAAGAACTTAAATCCCCCCCACCAACTCTAATGCTATTGCTGAAAAATATCCACCCTCCTAGACTCTGCCTACTTCGATTCCAGAATGTATCTGCTTTGTTTTGGGCTAAACTCTTAGAATTCCCTGGGCCCACTTAGTTTTAGAGTATCTTCTAGCCTTCCACTCATCTAATGTGCAGCTTCTTGGGCTCCTCCTTAGGTTCTGGCCCAGATAGACTTGAACCTTGAGGCTAATGCTTCAGAGGAGCTTTAAAATGATCTGCTTTTCTGCAGGCTGAGGTGTGCATCCTATCACCTTGCTATAGAACCCAGCTAGCCATTGTCTACGTGGTGTGTTAGGACCTCTGGAAAGTTATGCATCTTTCTTAGTCAATATTATCTTACTCTTTAGATTTAAGGAGTTTGGCAAAACACAAAGCTTCAGGGCATTACATTCCTCATGAGGATCCAGGTGGTGAGATTCACACAAATTGTCCCAGGGGACTCACTTTCCTAAATAAAGAAATTATATTCTCCATTTTCTTTCAGCAGTGTCTTTTGGAACATTGAGCAAGTACTGTTTTTAAAACCAAAGAATATATAGAGAGCCTTATTTCTCCAGAAGACTTAAAAATTGTCCAGAGCCTGAGAACAAATGAAAATACAAGGAGACCAGGTGCAACGGGTCACATCTGTAATCCTAGCACTTTGGGAGGCTGAGGCAGTTGGATCACTTAAGGCCAGGAGTTTGAGACTCGCCTGGGCAACATGGTGAAAACCTGTCTCTACAAAAAATACAAAAATTAGCTGGGTGTGGTGGTGCAAGCCTATAGTCTTGGCTCCTTGGGAGGCTGAGGTGTGAAGATCACTTGATCCCAGGAGGTGGAGGCTACAGTGAGCTGTGATCACACCCCTGGGGCAGCCTGGGCAACAGAGGAAGACCCTGTCTGAAAAAAGAAAGAAGAAAGGAAGAAAGGAAGGAAGAAAGGAAAGAAAGAAAGAAAGAAAGAAAGAAAGAAAGAAAGAAAGAAAGAAAGAGAAAGAAGGAAGGAAGGAAAGAAAGAAAGAAAGAAAGAGGGAAAGGAAGGAAGGAAGGAAGGATGGGGGAGGGGGAGGGGGAAGGGAAGGGGAAGGGAAAAAGAAAATACAAGGAGAATAAGTTGGTTAGCAATGATAACTCCATTGAGCAAGCTTCTAAACTCTGACAGCAGGGTATAGAGAATTTATGCTTTTATTTTTTATCTTTTGTGTTGTTTGTTGGCTGAGGTGCTCTGGTTGGGACTCAGGTCCTGAGTATAAACAGATAAAAGGCAAAGTCCTACATGGAAATCCCTCCTTGCATTCACCCAAGTAGAGAATGCAAACTCACCACTGCTCCTCTCTTACCAGCGTGGTATATCCTAACTCTCCTTATGCACCAGCTTATAAAAAATATGTCCAGTAGGAATACTCTACATCCTCAGACAACCAAGACCCTGCTAGCCTAGATATCACACATGATCAGAATGACAATGAGGAAGTAAAATTATAATATTTGGTAGACTCGTAAATAGTTTCCTACAGTGGTGGAGGAATTGTATGTGACAATATCTGAATTACAATAAATAGCTGTTGATTGAATTAATATATCTGTTTTTCCTAAACTAAAAGTAGCGAAAGAAAAGAGTACTTGGAGTACTATGTTATAACCATGCATACAGAATCCCAAGAACAAGTATGTCAAGCTAGCAAAAAAAAGACAATAATGTCGTGGGCTGTAGCAGATAAATTTCACTAGGAAGATAATCCTAGAAACAGTACAAAAACAAACAAGAGGAGAGGTGATTAGATTGACTATAGAACTAAAGAGGTAGGAGAATTATACATTCTCTGAAAATGATCCCAGGATAAATCCTGTAATCTGAACCCATGAAAGTTGGTTGTAGCATCAGCTTCTTGGAATTTTTTTCTAAATCAGAAACAGAGTTGTAAATAAGCTTACCATATCTCAACACCATTAGTTCCCACCAGAAAACTTTACTTTGGCTAATCACATTATAGGATGTTCTGTGGATCTCTGTGCTCTTTCAGGTAGAGGGCCAACAGCAATATACTGAATAGTCCAGTATTCTCACTATGAGTCAATTATGTCCTTTCTGTTTCTAATCCATCCATAGGGCTGAATAGAGCCATCCAGGGATTTCCAAAACAGAACAGAGAAAATATGCACTTTATAAAAATTGAAGATATTCTAGAACGTCTCGTGTTGACTTACTTGAGTCTTCCTGCCGTTGTTGATTTCACGTAGATACCACTTATTCAATGACAACCAAAGACACAGCACATTGCTTCAATTTTTATTAATCAAATGCTAAAGGATACCACCCTAACCATGTTGAAAACAACTTGCTTATGGTTGATAGTTTCAATTTAAAGAAAATAAAATTATGAATATAAAAATTTTGGTTTTTGCATATTACATTGCTTGCAAAGCTATCAATTGATGGATAGATAGAAGAAAGAATGGATGAATGAATGGATAGATGGATGGATAGATAGAAGATATACAGATTTGTTTATACTGTATTACTGTAAGTACTGATTGCCATTAGAGAACTTTTTATTATTATTATTATTTTCCTTCTTTGAGACACAGTCTTGCTCTGTCTCCCAGGCTGGAGTGCAGTGGCACGATCTTGGCTCACAGCAACCTCCACCTTCTGCGTTCCAGTGGTTCTCCTGCCTCAACCTCCCTTGTAGCTGGGATTACAGGCACATGCCACCATGCCTGGCTAATTTTTGTATTTTTAGTAGAGATGGGGCTTCACCATGTTGGCCAGGCTGGTCTCAAACTCCTCACCTTAGGTGATTCGCCTGCCTCAGTCTCTCAAAGTGCTGGGATTATAGGTGTGAGCCACCGCACCCAGTTGACAACCCATTTTTGTTGTGAAAGGTCATATACAGAAAGTATGCCAGGTCCATCAAGAGTTCTTTTGCTTGGAGAAAGGAGGGTAGAGGAAAGAGCTTTCTCTCGATTTGAAACCTAAAACATTTCACGAATAAGGTAAATGGTTTGTTCCATAATAAGTGCCATTGCTACACTTGTTCTTACTTCACTTGTTTTGCATGCAAAACAGCAATAAACTGATTTTTTCACATTTTACAATGGAAAGAACATAGAAAGATTTAAGTTTCAAGAAAGGAGACAATGCTTTTAAAACTAATAATAACATATAATTGCCAGAACAGTCCAGTTGTTTAATGTTACAAGATTGATATTTCTACAATTGTGTATTTTAAGTTAAAGTTCAAAAGGACTGACTCTGTATGTGCATTCATTTGGGGATATTTATCATGGTGAGATGTTAGCTCACGTCATTTCAGGTAGATAAACCTATCTTCAAGTTTGCAAGGAACTTTATCATATCAGGGCTGAGCACCACTACAAACTTACTTAGCATAAAGTTTTAGAGACTGAAGGGACTTAGTGCTCTGTTCATCTGGCCCCACACTCAGCATCCCTGGCAAAGGTCATCCAGCTTTTGCAACAGCACTACCAGAGATAAGGAACTCATTGGAGAGCTTTCATTATTAGAAAACATTTTCATATGTTACAGTAAAATATGCCTTCCTTGGACCACAGTCTACGGGTTATACTTGTAATCTTTGAAGCAACAAAAATTAATTTGATCCTTTTTCATATAAACTTTCTAGTTTGAATGTTTGAAACAATTATTATGCACTTATTATATTCCTACTTCAGATTAAATATTAATTCTTCTTAACATAGCTTGGCCACTTTTTCTCAACATGCATTACAATTGTTCTACATTTCTTTGAAGGTGAAGCACAGACATATGTAAAAGATAGCAAAGTTGTCTGGGACAGGTGCAGGAGAACAACTTTTTCCTCTTTAGGTCTGAATCTGGTACTTCTATTCATATCAGTAGAGCCCATGGTAATATTCACTTTTCAGCGGCTGTATCACATTGTTAGCTTGTATCAAAATTTCTTCCCTGTTTCACATAAGCATTTTATGTCACGTCCCCCAACCTCTTCATGTATAATTTCTTTTTGAGACATAAATAAGGAAGTTTATTCTTGCTATGTTCTATTGGTTTAGGGCCAGAGTTCAGCCTTCTGAGATCTTATATGCTAGTAGCAAATTCCTTTAGATCTTTGTTTGTGTCATCTGAAATTTTTATAAACATCTTTTCTATATTTTCCTTCAAGTTGTTTTCGATTATTTATAACTTTTGTTGTTGCAAAAGAATTGGAATATGATTGCATAAAACTCAAAGGGGTGTTTAAAATGGAATCAGGTTGAAAGTGGAATAGTACAGTTAATCAAAGATAAAGTTAGTACACAGAAAGACATAGCACAGGGTACTTCACAAAAGCTAGAGTTGGGATGCAAATTTGGCTCTAATTTTCAACTTTGCTGCCCACAGTAAGAGGTCAAAAGTAAAATGTATGTCTCAGAATTCAGTACTGGTAAAGTCCTTAACATTATCTACAAATTCCTGCGTGATCTCATATCCTCTTTACTCCATTACCACTCTGACATTCTCTCCTGCAGACACCCTGGCCACTATGAAAACGTCAGGCCCTTTCTTGTCTTAGAAACTTTTCATTTTTTTCTTCTGAAACCTTGAATCCTCCTCCTTCAGATACTGACTTGACTCATTCTCTCACATCCTTCAAGTCTGTCTCAAAAGTCATTTCCTTGGTGTATTAGTCTGTTTTCATGCTCCTGATAAAGACACCTGAGACTGGGAAGAAAAAGAGGTTTAATTGGACTTACATTTCCACATGACTGGGGAGGCCTCAGAATCGTGGCGGGAGGCAAAAGGCACTTCTTAACATGGTGGCAGCAAGAGAAAATGAGAAGGATGCAAAAACAGAAACCCCTGATAAAACCATCAGATCTCGTAAGACTTACTCACTACCACAAGAACAATATGGGGGAAACTGCCCCCATGATTCAATTATCTCCCACGGGGTTCTTCCCAACATGTGGGAATTATGAGAGTACAATTCAAGATGAGATTTGGGTGGGAACACAGAGCCAAACCATATCACTTGAATATGAGTGACTTTCTCTTCTTTCCTACTCTTGCCCCAGACAATAATACCCTTCTCTCCAAGGCTGGTCCTCTGTGGCCTAAAACACTCCCTCCCAGTGTTGCTCAACACCTTGCTCTCCCAGAAAGCTCTCTTTTATCTACTTTACCTCTTGTCCAGTAATACTGTGACCCCCCAACTCTGCTCAAGTTTTCCTCATCCTAATGTAAGCAAGCAAGTAAGTAAAAATCTCCTTTTTTCGGTTACCCTTTTGAGCAGTCATTTTGTTTCCTCTTCTTTAAGCCACTGCCAAACCACCAATAGATACTTTTTAAGGAAGAAAGAAATCTATATTCCATGCTCCTGCTTCTTCCTCAATTATTATTCTCTTGTAGTCTGGCTCCTGTCATCAGCATGCTACTAAAATTACTCTCTAAGGGTCACCATGACATGCCAAATCCAATAGCCTTTTCATAGTTCTCACTATTTCTGTCTGCACAACTGAACATTACTTTCAATGATCTTGAGTGTTCTGAACATCTAATAAATTTCAAAAAATAATTATTGTTTACTTTCATTTTGTAAACAAAAGTATGCCACAGAAATCCTTTAAGAGGCCATTCTTCCTTGGCTTCTATGAAGGATTTTTCTCCTTCTAGCTCTATGACATGACTTTCTCTTTATATCTTCAGGGTCCTTTTGTTTTATTTCTCCTAAATGCAGATGTAGCCCAACAGCTGTTCTTGGCCTTTGTCATTTCCTTGTATGTTCTTCTTTGATAATCATACACTCAATGACTTTACTCTCAGATCTGACCTTTCCCCAAAGCTCTAGCATACATTTTTAACTGCCTCTGTATTTCCTTCTGTGCATTCTGCTGGCACTTCAAACATAAATATTTCCAAAATTGATTTCATTAATTTTCCATCAGACTTGTTCTTCTTATGTTTACTATTCATGATTAATACTACTTACCCTTCTTACAGTTAACTAAACTAGAAATCTTAGTGTTGGTGTTGATGCTTTCCTGCTAGTACATCTGGGACCAACCTTGTCTATTCTACCTGAATCATATCGCTCACGACGACTAACCCTTCTCCATCCATTCTGACACTGCTTTGGTTCTGATCTCTAGTATGTCTCTCTAGCAAGACTGTAAAGTCGCTCTGATCAGCCATCTCATCTCAAGTCACTCCTTCTCCCAACTCATTTTACACACTGTTATCAGATGAATATTCCTGAAACAAAGCTCTGGTCATTACAATGCCTGGCTTAAAACCTGTTATTGACAATGCACTGCTGACATTCTGGCATTCAAGATCTTCATAAGTTAGAGCTTGTATAATTATTGGGAAAGAAGTTGCTTTCTTGGTGTTTGAGAGCAGATCAAAGACCTGTATTCTCAAAAGAGCAGCCTACACGTTGGGCTTGTTCCCACTTTATAATTCTCTGGTTGATATAGGACCCTCATTTGTTTTAGGTCATTTAGGACATTATCTTTATCCTCTTAAGAACTTCCAGCTTCAGTCAGATACCAGGTTCTAGTTCTCTGGTCTCTTTTGGGGTTTCATGAGGCAGAGTTAGTGCTCTCATGGGACCTGGGACTAATTAAAAAATCCTCAATTCTCTTTTCATTAGAAGTTTGCCCTTTGTTTGCTTTTACCTGGATAAGGAGCAAAGAATGTAGTTCCATTTTTATATGTACTTTAAGCCATCATCTTGTAAACTTGGGATAAAAGATCAGTTCTCATGGGGAAATCAGACATAGGCAGTGAGTTCTTTCTCAATCACACCACATAACAATTTATTGGATAGGGCCTGTGATGAACTTTAATGTCTAATATCTGTAACTATGGAATTTACAAGCAGCAGGTAAGCAGCTGGACCATTTCACTGCCGTTTCTTTAAGCTGTGTAACCTTTACAGAACTTTCCAGTGATGTTTCTGCTATTAAAGTATGTACGTTTTACATTTATATATGTATAAAATATATATGTCATATATATAATATATGTATATATAAGTTTCTATATTTGGGTGTGATTTTCAGAAAGAATGGAAGGGGGAGATTGGAGGAGAGAGTATGTGAATAGAAAAGCAGGAAAAGAGAGGACAATGTTCATTATTTTAGAATTTGTTAAATATAGGGGAAACTTTTTATATGACATATTAGAACACTAGGGATCAGCCTCCTATAAACATCTATTCTACTTAAAATGGCAAATATAATATACAAATAGAGACTTACATGCCTTTATAAATTTGCCGTGAGTAGAACAAACTGAGAGGCAAGCAATGGAATTAGCATGCGCTGACATTGGCAAAGGGGTAGAAAAAGTCTTTTAAAGAAAACAGAGGTGAGCAGAACAGAAAACATTAAGACCGCAAGAGTAGAATTTTTAGATTTCATTTACTTTTAAAACCAAAATAAAAAGGTGGACGTGGAGGCAATTGACAAAGCCAACAACTCTCTTGCAGTGATGCCCAGTATTCTGAAGCATATGTGGGTGTGTCTTTTTTGTTTGTTTTTTGGAGACAGGGTCTCACTATGTTGCTCAGGTTAGGCTCAAGCAATCCTCCTGCCTCAGCATCCCAAGTCTCTGAGATTATAGACATGCATGCAACATACATTTTGAGTTATGTGGACCCTCTAAGTTTTCTGCCTCTCTGAGTGAGAATATGGATAATCCTAACAGATTTACACAGATCCTGTCAGCAAATACCTGTGGGTTTTTCCCATCTAACATCCCATAGTGCTTTCAATTATTTCAAGCAATATGAAGTTCTGAAAACTAAATTTCTAAATTGGAATTAACTATAGCTCAGTCTAATTTTGGAAACAAAAATATGTCATACAAATCCATTAAGAGACAATCACTAAATGATATGAATGCTTGAAGTCTGGGGATCAGTGATGTGTGTGATAAGAATATAAAATCTTCATAAGTTTGACACATTTATCGAAACTTATGAGCAGTTCAATCCCCTTGTTCAATTGAAAAGAATATTTGAATATTTACAGTAGAGGTGCCTATTGCTAGATTTGACATTTGGAGTGACAAAGCAAGAAGGAAAGGCTGGGAAGTGGCATCAGGACTAAATTCTATCCACAGGACTTGCATGATGGACTTTATAGCCAGAGGAAAATGAATGGTCTCAATATAGGAGGCTTTGGAGCTCCTTTTACTTTTGATGTCAGGAAAGCTGCTGCCTCCACATTTTCTACTCTTTTTCTTCAGCATAATGTGAGGTAGAGGGTCAGGGGACACACTTGTGGCCTCTAATGGCCAGATAATGGACCACAATAAAAGTTATGTGTCCCTAGCTGGAGGTGAAGACATATAATGGTTTACAAGATCCATTATCTAACTATCAGAACCTAAAGTAAAAGGAGACAATTATTAAATCAAAGAAAAGAAATCCATTTCCACTTATTCAAGAAAAAGAATTTTGCTTACGTGCTGTGCATTTTTATACAAGGACTACCCTTGTCTTTAAGTAATAAGTAATAATTACAGCAGCTAGTGTTTATTGAGCATTTACAATATGCTAATTGCCTTCACAAAGAACATGATCTTAGGAATCAGACTCCCCACTTTGAAATTTTGGCTTCAGCGCTTGAAGGAAGTCAACCTCTCCACGCCTCAGTTTTATTATATGGAAAACAATGATAATATCAGTATATGTATCATATGATCACCAAGTATGTCATATATTGAGCCCACAATAAAGATGCTAGTTATTATTATTGCTGTTGTAATAGAGCCATTGTTGACATTTATGGATAGCAGATATATTGTTTAGATCTCTGATTAGCCCCATGTTATGAATTAAGAAATGAAGGGGATGAAGTGGAGATATTTAATCTGGAGGTTTGTTAATAGATTTTAATAGACTTTAAAAGAGTCATTGGCTCTTTGAAAGAAACCAAAAAATATTTTATTTTGTTGTGCATTTGGGTGGGTGAAACACTCCATGGTTTTCACCAAAGTCTCAAAAGAGCTCTTGGCCCTCAAAATGCTAAGAACCCCTGATAAACTAAATTTCATGTATTACTTTATCTATCAAGTAATGCAGGGTGGTTATTGAGCAAACATTTTAAAATAAAATCATTTTTTTCTCCTTTTTAAGATTTTCTGCCTTTTTAAGATTAGGAAAAATCAAATATAAAAAGCAATGACAGATACATATTCTGTCTATTCTGTCATATTTTGTCTGCTGAGTGCCAAAATGGGTGCATACACGTCACAATACAATTATCCATTTTTCATATCTCCTTAAGATCTCTTTTCAAGACACATTTGGAAGAAACAAAACCAAGTCAGTTATGAAGGTGAGAAGCTATGGATTTAGTGTCTTGGTAATCATTCCTGAGCAATCAATTGATACATCTTTAGTGGCTTCATTTGGCCTTTGGAGACCCCTGGAATTTGAGTTGAGATTCCCATGAACATAATGGTACCATGATATCGACATTACCTTTTTTCATATGGCACTTGGAGAAGGATCTACAGCAACCTCTTTCACTCCTTGAGATATAACTATCATCTATGCAGTGTCAGTCTCTGTCCAACTAATGTGGGACTGTTAGAGCTACTGAAACATCAGAAGTGGATTTGTGGGCCCCAGGGTGCAACGTAGGTGCTCCAGTGATAGATGCACTGAAGGCCCTAACTTCAGGACAATGCAATATGTCAATGTAGCAAAACTGCCCCTGTACCCCATGAATATATACAAATTTTTAAAAATTAAAAAATAAAAATAAATATTACTCATTTTCATGGCTTAAACAGTGGTTTAAGAGCACACACTCTAAAGATGGGCCATAAGGGCTGATATCCCAGCTGTGTCATTACCAGCTGTGCACCCATTGGCAAATTAATACACCTACCTCTATATCAACTTTTTTCTCTGTAAAATGGGGGTACATATAATATTTACCTCCTAGGACTGTCGTATGAAGACTAAGTGTATTAACATATATATAAATCACTGCAACAGTACTTGGCATATATGAGCTATAAATATTAGCTATTAATGGATCATTATGTAATCCACTTCTTGGGGATTAAGAAGAAAATATTTGGGTGCTAATTCTATTTTCCTTGCTGAATGACCTTTATTTTACATTTAGACAAATTGCTAACTCTTTGAGTGCCATTTTTCTTACTTTGATGAGAAACTAATCCCCACACCCATGATGGTGTGTGAAATCAAGAATGTACCAGTGCTTTGTAAATTGTTGAGCCCTGGGCATATGACTTTTTTTTTTTTTTTTTTTTTGAGAAGGAGTTTCACTCTTGTTGCCCACGCTGGAGTGCAATGCCGGGATCTCGGCTCCCCACAACCTCCGCCTCCCAAGTTCAAGCGATTCTCTTGTCTCAGCCTCCTGATTAGCTGGGATTAGAGGGATGCGCCACCACACCTGACTAATTTTGTCTTTTTAGTAGAGACAGGATTTCACCATGTTGGTCAGGCTGGTCTCAAACTCCTGACCTCAGGTGATCCACCCACCTCGGCCTCCCAAAGTGCTGGGATTACAGGCGTGAGCCACCGCACCCGGCCGCCATTTTTAAACATATTAAGATTCAAATATATCTACAAAATTTATCATGCATTGTGTTTTTTGAAAACATTTTATAATTAATTCTAAATATCTACAGAAGCAAAATGCTAATTACAGAGCCTAGAGGATTTTTTATGCCTTATTTGTGCATGTTTTATATGGCATAAGGAGAAACTGTGGCGCACAGATTTTTCTAAGAAATTTTCTAGTTAATCTTAGTTAAGGCTCTGGTCAGCTTCACGTTTTCTTAGTTTTTTGATGGCGAAGGGGGTGCATTTGTGAATGAACCAGAATTCTGGTTCAAGGAAACAGCTGACCCCATTGCTGACTCCTTCACATTTGGAGAAGCTGAGTAGAGGTTATTGAATATTAATGAATTTTAGTTTCACAGCATTTCTTCTTCACAATTCCAGGGTTTTTTTTTTTTAACTAGTTTTTAAATATTTTTGACTGAATTTTCACTGTTTTAATTTTGGAAGCATAGTATTTAGATGATTCTCACGTTGGTTTGATTAGTCTTATATTTTATCTGTGTTTGCCAGGACTTGAAGATTTATAAAATCAATGTGTATCAACATGTGCTTGCTCAAAGCCTTTTCTATTTCTGTCGTTTGTCATAATGAGCTGGAAATGCTTTCCTAATCTCCCTGAATAACCTTCTACCCAGCATTTCTGGAGTCACTAAAAAGACCTGATTGTTTACACCTCAACTTTTTAAGGAAAAGGAATCCAGAAGCTGACATTTGTATCCATGCCTCTATCAGTTGTCTGTCGTTGCATAACAAACCACCTTAACACTTACTGGCTTAAAGCAACTATGCTTTATTATTTCTCACTCTTCTATGGGTTGCCGGGTGATTGCTGGTATTGCCTGGGCCTATTCATGTGTTTGCCATCAGCCGATGGTTTGGCTGGGGCCTGAGCTTAGCTGGGATTGTTGGGTGGCTGTCTCTCCATGTGGCCTTTCATCCTGGGATTCCATACATGGTGGTCCCTGGGTAACATTCCAAAAGGAAAAAAAAATGGCATTGTGTGAGTTCAGGAGCAGTAGGGGTTTTGACTCCTGAACTCACACAATGCCATTTCTATCTTATTCTATTGGTCAAAGCATATCACAAATAAGGACAGTCCAGGTGTAAGGTTTGGGAGAATAGATTCTACATCTTTATGGGAGAAACTGCAAGGGATTTGTGGATATGTTTAATCTATCAAAATGTCTGGTTGTTGATTTTTTAGCCAAGGGTTTCTTTGTTAGAATGTTGACAGAAACTGTGAATTTTTGTCAGTGGCACTGGAGAAAGCCAAAAGATTTCTCTATCAGAGACAGTACCCCATTCACATTTACTTAGGATAGTCCCATGTTGTTTAATTACTCAATGTAGATTAATTAGGCAACCATTCCTCTACATACAAGTATTGAGCTCTTTGTGTTTTACCCGAAACTACAAGAGTGTTGATCCTTATACTAAATTTAGCTGTCCTTTGAGGGAAAATGAGCATGTCACATTTTCAGAGGTTTATAGAAAAACAAAATCAGGGTCAACATCCTGGTTATAAACAATATTAAGCTCCTACTGTGTACAAAAAAAATGCTGTTTGGGGATTTTCAAATGGTATAAGGTATGATCTCTAGTTACAAGCTTAAATTTTAGCTCAACAAACAGTCATAACTTAGTAATAAACAATTAACTTTTGAATTATTTAGCACACATTTATGGGATGTCTCCTATATACGTAGGCTCTATATTAGGCATTGTGAATGTAAAAATGAACCCATCTGGGTCTCTGGTGTCATGATTTAGAGTGTAGTTAGGGAAGCAGAATATGAACAAGTAACAAAAGTAACTTAAGCAAGTAAAAAAGTAATAAAAACAAGGACAAATTAGTATTACAAATGCTCTGACAGAAGATTAGACAAGATATACAGGAGATATGTATTGAGGAATAGAATCTGTTACAAAGAAGAGGTGAGGCTTGAGTTGAGAGTTGAGTCTTGAAAAGTGGGCAAATGATCTTCCTGCTGACCGGTAATGTCTGTGAGGTTCAGGAAGATGAAGCAGCATGAATACAGGGATATGGAACACAGAAACCATGGGAAACACCAGGAGCTTGCAATCTGTTGTGTGACTGAAACCCAGGATTCAGGGTGAGATGAAGAAGGGGAGCAAGGAACAAAGAAACAAAAAGAAGTAATAAGCAATAAACAGACGTGGCCAGTGACTTAATCATGGAGAACCTAAAATATCTTCCTATGAAGTTTGGATTTGCATCCATATATAATGGGAATTTGTTGAAGAATTTTAATCAGAGGATGACATAATCAAAGCATTTTAGGAAGATCACTCTGACTTCTATATGTAAGATAAGTTGGCTATGGCAGTACTAGAGATAGAGAAAGTAGACAGTTTGTTGCACTAATCTAAATGAGCTATGATAAGAACTTGGGTAGCGGCAGAATGGATAGAGAGTAAGAGGTGATTCATACCTTCAATAGACATGTATTGTGTCTTCCAGGTACTGAATGCTAGGTGATATGTCAAGTGCTGGGAGTATTGTGGCATAGAACTGAACCTGTAACTGTGCAAAGAGAGCACTCAAAGGCAGATGTAAAAATTTTTCAAAAGGTTCAAGTAAAAGAACCTGCTTCCTAACTGAATGTAGGAAGGAAAAAAAAAGGGGGAAGACCCCAGAAATCCCAAGATGAGGGAATGGTGGTATCTTAACAAAAAACTATTATACAATTTAAACAGTAGGTAATAGTAGATCAAGAAAGTACATTCTTTTACAAGTAAGCAAAAAATAAAAGTGAAAACATGAGTATCCAAAGAAGGATTTTAGAGGTATCAATTTTAGTTGTATTTATGTATTGTCTTCAATTTTCAAAGATGACACTATGAACAAGAGTGTGGGGTGTGTGTGCCTAGGTGTCATGAGGTCTGATGGAATTATTCTACTCCTTTTCATCTTGTCTGTCCTTGACAAAGTCTGCCATATCTTCCTATGTGTGGTTTAATTGAACTTGACCCTAAGATTTGATTATTTCAATTCCCTGTGGCTCAATAATTGGGTCCCATGTGTGGTGTGGGGAAGTTGCACTGGGTATCCCACAGCTGCTGCTTATGTGGGTGGATTAAATTAGAACTTCCAAGTATATCGCCTGCTCCTGATTTGATCATGACCATAAAAATATATTTTCTGTTAAATTTTTCTATATAAAGCCAACTAGAGGAAAACAACCAATAATAGTAACTCTCTTCCTCTCTGTTTACATGTTCATCTTTAGCTAACACTATTACACTGTGACTAGGATTCATTATTATATTCTGGGTATCTATTTCACCTATTTGTGGCATAAATACCAACTTACTGGCACAATGATAAACCCATTACATGTGACTAATACTCAATGTTTGACATTAATCTTGCTTCTAGCTTTTCATTAGGTCAATCAGGAAACCTTTATTGAGTTCACATTCTGTGCTCAGCAGTATAAGATTTAGGGGAAGCAGCTTTGAGAAGGATGCAAAATCATCCCTCACCATCAAAAGAAGAGATGCAGATACCAAATACCTGACGCATATTATTCATTCATTCATTAAGTACCTGTTCTGTATTTGGCTATAGGAATAGAAAAATAATGCTGCTTTCAAAATGTTTAAAGTTGGGTGGGTATCTAAGTGATTATGAACATCATATAATATTTGGCACTTTACATTAACTTATTAAGTATCTTATAAGTTATACAGGGTAGATGTTATTACCCTTATTATCAAGCCACTCAAGAAGCTTAAGCAACTTGCATCAAGTCACACAGGGAACTAGGATTGAGTTAGCATTAATTATGTGTGAGTCCTAACTCTATGATCTCTCCTCAAAACAGGAGAACTTAGCATAATGTGCTAAGTTATAATTAAAAATACCACCAACAATAATATTCAAAACAAAAAGATTTTCTCTTAACGTTGCCCATCCTTTCTTTACTATCTCTCACACACACTTTGTAGCTGAACTCCTTGAAAATATAGCTTGCATTGTCAAATTTACCTCACTTTTGTATTTCAACCACGCTAGTGTCCAGATCTTTGAAACCCCCAACATACAGCTACCTATAAACATGCTGGCCCCCGGGGCCAATAAAAAAAATAACTTTCTTACTTAAAAAGGGATCTCATAGTTGCCAGTGAAATATACTCTTTTAAATTCTTATTTGACTTAGCAGTAAGGAAGTAGTACAGCGTGCTAAAAAGATTATGTGTTTCGGTATTGGACTTCTCTGAGTTAAATCCCGGCGCAACATGGGTTCGTACCTGGCTCTGTGACCTCTGCCAGTTACTTAGGTTCCCTGGGCCTTGGTTTCTTCATATATAAAGCAGGAATGATGATACCTATCATAATACCTCTGGATGTGTTGTAAGAATTAATAATTTGTTCTTAACATGACAGCAAAATATACTTTTCGAGCACTCAATAAATATAACTGTTATTATTTATCATCATCATGAAAACCTCTACTGCCTGTGATAAAGTTGATAACCTCCTTCTCTTTTTTTTTCTTTTCTTTTTCTTTGAGAAGGAGCCTCACTCTGTCGACTAGGCTGGAGTGCAGTGGCGCGATCACAGCTCACTGCAAGCTCCGCCTCCTGGGTTCACGCCATTCTCCTGCCTCAGCCTCCCGAGTAGCTGGGACTACAGGGGCCGGCCACCACGCCTGGTTAATTTTTTTTGTATTTTTAGTAGAGACGGGGTTTCACCGTGTTAGCCAGGATGGCCTCGATCTCCTGACCTTGTGATCCGCCCGCCTTGGCCTCCCAAAGTGCTGGGATTACAGGTGTGAGCCACCGTGCCTGGCCCCCTCCTTCTTCTTTCAATTCCTTTCTCCCTACAGTTTATCCAGGCGAGTTTTTCCTGCACATATTTTCCCCTTTTTTGTTCATTTTCTTCTGCTGCTCATACTTTAAATTCCAGCATCCCCCAGTGTCCTGTTCTTGGCCCAGCTCTTTTCTTCTTCTATTTATCGTAGGACATGTCCACCCTTCTTGTGATTTCCACTGCCTCTAATATATTTCCTAAAGTTATATGTGAATCCTAGTGCTTTCTTCTGAGCCTAAGACCTATGTCCCCAAATATCTACTAGGGATCTCCAAGTTGCTTAAGCAACTAGAACTCAGCTGGCCCAATGTTGGATTAGGAATAACTCCTCCCCTTCCTCCTTTTACTGATAATAAATAAAACTTTCTTTCCTGTATTCCTTATCATCAGGAAAAGATTCCATCACCCTATCCAGTTACTGAGAACAGCAATCTGGGTATCATCCTAAATTACCCTTCTTGCCAGCCCCCAATCCAATTAAAAATCAAGCACTATTGATTATATCTCCTCAACATCTCTTGTCTTCTGTGCATATTGGAACTGCCCTGTCTTAGACTCACCTCATCATTCCCATCCCCTAACCTCTCAACTGGTTTTCCTGCCTTCAGGGAAACAATTTCTCCCACAATTCACCCTACTCATTCATGCCAGAATAGCCTTTCCAAAATGTGTGTGGTAAACTTTTGTGTATGTGTGTGTGTGTATACAAATATATATATATACACACAATAATTACATACCTACAGTATATTTTATATATATTTGTATGTTGCATATATACTTCTTACATATACACACAATGTAAAATGTATTTTTATATACATTATATAAATATATATATACATACACAAGTTTTTTACAAATAAAAGTGTATCATTGACATTTTGGAGAGGTTATTTTATATATATGATACTAGTATCATATATATGATATGTTGTAGTATCTCATATATATGTGTTCCTCACTTTGTTGTAATATCATATACACATAAAATAACCTTATATATCATATATGTAACAACCTCATATGTCATATATATATATGATACTACAACAAAGTGAGGAACACATATAGGCAAAATGGGGACATAAAAATAAGCCACATAAGTTCAAATGGAATTAGCCAACGTAATGCTTAACTGTGGTAGATCCCCAAGATTCATGATTTCCTGCCTCCCACCCTATTGTGCTGTGTTGATGTCCTTCATAATCCCTGGGACTGTGAATTTGGTGGATTTTGCTCCTATGATTAGGTTGTTGTATGGCACGGTTAACTTTAAGAAAGAGAGATTATCCAGGTGGATCTGACCTAATCAGAGGAGTCCTTAAGAAAGCAGACAATTTTATTCTGGCCAGTTGTAGAAGAGGAAGTCAGAAATTTTCAGTTTAAGAAGGATTTTGTGTGTCTACTTTCTTGAAGATAAGAGGAACTCATGAAGGAATAGGTGCAGCCTCTAGAACCTAAAGGTGGCTGCAAACTGAAAGCCAGGAAAGATGCTAGGACCTCAGTCCTACAATTGCAAGAAACTGAATTCTACCCAAAAAGAATGAGCTTGGAAGAGGATTTTTCCACAGAGCTCTATGAAGGTGATGTAGTCCCACCAACACCTTGATTTTGGCCTTGTGAGACTAAGCAAAGAACCTACGAAGGCCATTCTAGACTTCTGAGCTACAAAAATATAAGCTGAAGAACAGATGCTTTCAAGCTCATAAGTTTCTGGTAATTTGTTATGTAGCAATAGAAAACTAATATATCAACTCATAGTTGACACTAGTTTATGTCAATCAATTACTGAGTATTGAAAGAATGGAGGGATGGATGGGGGGGTGGATAGAGATTGATATGTGGATGAGTGACAGAATGAATGTTTTATGAGGCTCAATGCCATGTTCTGAGAGCCTAATCTAGTGTAGGGCATACATTTGGCCCTTGACAAAGATCGTTTGATTTAAACATATGATAGAAATAGAGAAGAGTATGATACTCTGTGCTTTGAGTGCTAACAAATAATTCATTCCGTAAACCAAGTGGGGATGTAGGGTGGAAAGAAACGGAGAGTGATAGGAGATCGAAAAATAGGCAGAGGCTGAACACAAAAGCTCTCCTACCTGATCTTAAGGAGTATTAGTCTTTTATTTATGAGTGCAAAAATTCTCTATCGTAATTCTTTTAACATTTACTTTCAATATCTACCCCAGTATGCTTTACTTCTTATTGTTTTTATTATTGTTAACTTAGTAGGTTTTAAAAATTATTATATATGAGACCCTCTTGTTTACTTTTATAATTTAACATTTCCTTTCTCACTACAAAGCAATAGATTCAATAATTACCTCTAGCTTTTTATAGTCTTGTGTATATTCCTGTCTCTCTGACACAATTATGACTAGTGGTTGGTTTATGAATTAGAAAAGTTGATTAAAGAAGGAAATCATAAAAATGATGCATGAAGTACTACAGATACTTCAATTTATCCCTCTTGGGCATAGGGCCAATTCCTGTCCTTGAGAGTAGGTTCACTGAGTGTGTCTCCAGTCTTGCCCCAACCACCCCAATAAGGCACATGTACGGTTCCTTGTTATGGTTCTTTAAAGTAGCTGTAGAATTCAAAGACAATCTGAATATAGACTCCTGCTAGAGTTTTATGATGGTTTCTCCCATCTGTACATTTGTCTCACCTACCCCTAATTTGAATAGTTGTTAACAAAAGATGCTATTTACTTTTCATGGAAACAATTTTCTATCTTTTCTCAATTCCTTTGTATTGATTTGTGTAGTATTTAAGCAACAGTTCATTTATATGCTATCATTAACAAGGACAATCACATTAACAGATTTGGGAATAAACCACCTGATTCTTGGAAAGCTTGTCCCATAATTGGTGGGTGCAGCAAGGCACAAGCAAAGAGGAGCTCATTTTCCAGATTGAGCATTCAGAATGCTGTGGCTATCTGCCCCGGCATTTTTCAGATGGAGGGGGGTGTGGATTAATCCACTAAGATGGCTGAGTGAAGACCAGTAAAGGTATTTTATATTACAACCTCTGCAATTTTGGTTAGGTCACTTAATCTCATGCCTCAGTTTCCTCATTTGTAAAATAAAAAGTATATTAGCACATATGTTTGTTTATTGGCTAGTCAAGTGGAACAGTGGTATTGGAAAAAGAACAAAGAAATTTGTAACTGTTTGTGATCAATTAGTTGTAAAAACCACTGCACTATGACCAGCCAGCTCCCACTTTAATGGGTGTTTGTGATTGTTAAACAAGCAGTACATGAGAAATGTTTAAAAACATGTATGGCACATAATAAGCATTCAAAAATTAAAGGAAATAAAAGTAAAATAAAATTTAAGATAAATGCTATTATTTATAAACACTTGAAATTATTTTCTGTTACAAGGTAGTACCAATATTATTGTCACCACTGTTGTCATAATTATGTGAGAATAACTAGCATATTGACTGCTTACTATATGCCAGGCATGATGGGAAACACTTTGTGTGCATTAACAGTCATCCCTCAGTATCACCAGGGGATTGGACACACCCCACCCCATACCAAAATCCTTGAATATTCAAGTCCCACAGTCAGCCCAGCAGAATCTGAGTATGTGGAAAGTTGGTTCTCTGTCTTCCTGTACTTCTGCATCTGGCAAATACTGTAATTTTGATCTGCATTTAGTGCAGATGCAGAATCTCTGGAGATGGCAGGCCGATTGTATTTACTGAAAAATGCCCACATGTAAATGGACCAGAGAAGTTCAAACTCCCTGTTATTGAAGGTCAACTGTATTTCATTTTGCGATTTGCCCAAGGTCACACAGCTATTAAGTGGCAGAGCCAAAAGAGAAAGCCAACCATTTTGATTCCAGAATTTCTGCTTTTTGTCTGTTTATGCTATTCCTTTTCCAAAAAGAATTTCAAATTTGACTCACAAGAATATATTGAACATAGTAACATACCATAAATTAAAAACAACCACTACCAATAAAAACTTAGCTCCTTTTAATACCTTCATACATATATGTATATGAAGTTTTCTGCTTAATGACAATTCCCAAATCTAGTCACCACTAAAGTAAATTTCTATTTTATAATTAGAAGGCATAGTGTTTTCCCTTACATAAAAATGTCTGAAATCCATAGTTGTTACATTTCTTATCAGGAGGCCAAATTCACTACTCAGTCTCATATGCCATCAACTGTAATAAAGGCAAAAGTTGTCACAAATACACGTAGCCATTAAGAATGGAGTATAAACCAAAATCAAAAATCTAGTTCATCATTATGTTTATTCTTCCTACCATGGAGGCTAATGAGAGGAAGCCCTTTAGTTTTGACTCTTGTCTAATCTATCCAACCCTTTATCCAGTGATGACTTTATGTTTTTTGCCATAGATACTACCAGCCTGGGCACCACATCAGTATGGAAATTAAACTGGCAATCCAGAACACATTGATTTATGAGGTTGCATTTCTCCCTTACATTTTATAATATTTTTGAGCAATCATAAATTAAACATAAAATCAATTTCAATTAAAAGTTAAGGGGCCGTAGACCCTCAGGTGGATGCTTAATGGTTAGTTTTATGAAATATAAAAAATACTAAGCTTTATACAGGTGTTATTATTATTTAATATTTCTTACACACTAACAACATGCCATCAATTTATATTTACTCAAAACCCAATTACCTAATTTTTGAATTATGTAGCCTGCCCAGTTCTGCAATTAAACATTTGGCCATTTATTTCATTCTAATTGTTGGCTCTTCAAGATAAAAAATGTTAGGAGAAGAAAAATTACATTGTTGTATTTTAGAAGCTCTATTAAAACTTAGAAACAGCCTCCTCATTGGGAAATTATTCATTTTCAATTATTCAGACTTTAAAAGTCCTACATTTGGAGAACATTGCATGGTAAGAGAATGTTTATAAGACAACACTGTGAGAAAGATGATGTGAAACATGTCCATAATTATTTACTTGCATTATATATCTACTAATTTATTCAATACAAATTTATTGTATTTATAATACATGCATTGCATTAGGAATAAAACAGAGAAAAGAAAAACAACAGTTATGGGCATGCCTTCATGACACCTGCATTCTAAAGAGAGAAAAGTAGGCATAAACAATGAATTAGTTCACTAAAACTAAACAGGAATACTTTCTAGTGCTTATTGTACAGTAGCTACCATTCTAACTGTTCTCTGTGTATTAGTTCATGTCATCTTCCCAGCAACCTTATAAGAATCATACAGTAATTATCTGCATTTTATAGAAGTGGAAATTGAGGCTCAAGGGTGTTAAATAACTTGTCCACATCTAACAGCTGGGATGTGATGATACTGGGGCTTGGACCTAGCAGTCTGGCATCGAGGGGTAGACGCTATATCATTTGGTTATTCTGCCTTTCCAATGCGGTGAATTATTATAAAGGGGATGAACTTGGCAGGGCACAGGTAGTGTCAGAGCTGTGTGAACCAAAGCAACTCCATCTTAAATAGGAGCTGGGTAAAACAAGGCTGAAACCTACTGGGCTGCATTCCCAGATGGTAAAGACATTCTAAGTCGCAGGATGAGATAGGAGATCAACAAAAAATACAGGTCTTAAAGACCTTGCTGATAAAATAGGCTGCAGTAAAGGAGCTGGCCAAAACCCACCAAAACCCACCAAAACCAAGATGGCCACAAGAGTGACCTCTGGTCATCCTCACTACTACGCTCCCATCAGTGCCATGACAGTTTACAAATGCCATGGCAGCATCAGGAAGTTACCTATATGGTCTAAAAAGGGGAAGCATGAATAATCCACCCGTTGCTTTGCATGTCATCAAAACATAACCATAAAAATGGGCAACCAGTAGCCCTCCAGGCTGCTCTGTCTATGGCATAGCCATTCTTTTATTCCTTTACTCTCTTAGTAGACTTGCTTTCACTTTGCACTGTGGACTCGCCCTGAACTCTTTGTTGTGCGAGATCCATGAATGCTCTTTTGGGATCTGGATGGAAACCCCTTTCCTGTAACACATTTCTCTGTCCTGTAACAGTAGTGCCAGGGAGATCAAGTAAGATTTTCTCTAGAAAATTACAATTGGAATGATATATATAAAGCTAAATAGGAATTAACTAGAGATTGATGTAGACAGGTAGCAGATGCTGACATAGGTAGAAGGACTCAAATGTGCAAAGAGGCTAAGTGAGAAGAGTGAGGGGAATTAGAGCAACCAAGAGATATCCAGAGTGGCTGAAGTGCAGGCAATCAGGAGCATGGGTCGGTAGAGCTGGAAAAAACCCTAGGAAAGGCCTGCTGGGTTTGGCTACCTCTGATTTCATTCTCCATATATTGAGACTCTCTTTACATCAATGAATTTCAAACTTGGCTGCAATTAGAATCACCTGGGGAGCTTTTACAACACCTCAACCCAGGCCAATTATATCAAAATCTCTGGAGGAGGGACCCAGGCATCAGTAGGTTCTAAAGACCCCCACGTATTTCCAATGTGCAGCCAAGGTTGAGAACCAATGTGGCAGATGATCCTCAGACTATTGCCTAAATTAGCAGAAATCTCTAGAGCCAAACATGTGAACAATATTATTATGATGATCAAATGTGGTTTTAAATTTCGAGTACGTGTTATTTGGTGAAGTAAAGTGGAGGAGTATCTGACTCAGGCAAATATCAGTTGCATGAATCCTCAAACAAAAGGAAAAGTTTCCAGCTTAAGTGTGGGACAACTGGGTGGAGAGTACACATTCTCTGGTTGTGCTGACCTGAAATGTTCTAACTCCCTGGGCGAGAGAAGACAAGCCAAAGTCTTAGGATGAAGCATGCCTTTAAGATAGGGACCTCCCTTCCCCACAGTGCTCCATCCACCCTCTGGGCTAAGGAGTAGAGGTAAGTGGGTGAGGATGGAAAAAAAGCAAGCTCTCGAGTTTAACCTGAAAGTTTATGTTCCATGGGCATCACTGAAAAGAAAAGAACTAGGAGAGATGGTGACCTGTCAACGACCTGCCTTGAGGGAGAGTTTAATCCCGGTGGCTGAATCAGTCAGGAATCTTTGGGAAACAAATTAAGACATTCAGCAACTGAAAGAACGAAGATTATGGGCCAGGTGCAGTGGCTCATGCCTGTAATCCCAGCACTTTGGAAGGTTGAGGTGGGAGGATCACTTCAGCCTGGAAGACCAAGGCCGTAGTGAGTCATAATTGTGCCACTGCATGCCAACCTTGGTGACAAAATGAGACTCTGTCTACAAAAAAAATAAAATAAAAATAAAAAAAAAGATTGTGATGCCTCTTTCCAAAATAAATAAAATGTTTATTTTTTCAACATTACACAAAATTTAAGCATATGCTGACGGTATCTGACTACAAGAATCTGAATATTTATTAAGCTGAACTCTCTTTCTCTTCTCTTCCTCCTCCTTTCTCTTTTTCAATGCCACTTGATAATTCAGTAGTGGAATAAAGGGCCTTAAGGTAAAGGTGGGATTAAATATGTTTTACAGGGATTTTGAAGAAGGAATAAAGAAATGCATAAATAGATATCAAACTATCAGTATGAAGGCTATTTCTGCAGACCAGGTGAGATAGGACCGTAGCTCGGAGTAGAGCCTAATGGCAGTACAGAAGGAAAAAATGGAAAGAGAGTAAGATTTGGCCATAAGCAACAATGATAGCTAAAGCAAAAGGGATGATGACAGATAAGTGATAAGAGAGATAAACATAGAGATATCAAAAAAAATCTTGCCAGCTACCACTACTGTTTCTACTTTGCCTCCAAATTACATTTTCAAAATTTATTACCTTTTTATGTTTTAAAGTGAGTGACTAATAATGGAATAATCAAATAAATATGTAATATATATCTTATTAAGTATAGAAAATAGTCTGGAAAAAATACTCCCAAATGTTGAGAGTGATTAACTCTAGGTGGATGGTATCACTGGGGTGATTCTAAGAATAAAAATAGTGAATGCATGTGAGCATATGTGTGCCAGGAAAATCCTTGTACTTTTGCTCACATTATCTGTTTAATCCTCATTTTCCAGGGTATGGAAATGTTTCATGGAACTGGTACATAAAAAAGAATATTGAGTATTTAAAATATTTTTAAATATATTATTAAAATTAACATAATATTGAGGTGAACTAAAATCACAACACAGTTTATTACAGAATAAAACATTGCAAAAATGACTATAATAGTTGCTAAACATTTATTATGTACCAAGAACTGTACTAGGTGTTTTACAAATATCAACTCATTTAAGTAAATTCTCACAATTCATTGAGGTGAATACTATAGTCATCTCTAATTTCCCATGGTGGTGGTGGGGAAGTATATCTTAGACAGATTAACTATGTGCGATAATGACTATAATAGTTACTAAACATTTATTGTGTACCAAGAACTGTACTAGGTGTTTTACAAGTATTAACTCATTAAATTCTCATAATTCATTGTGGTGAGTACTATAATCATCCCTACTCTGCCAGTGGTGGTGGTGGGGAAGTATATCTTAGACAGATTAAGCATGTTTTACGTAGTCATATATTTGTGTGACTCTAAAGACTCTGAAATTCAGGAGAGAAATGCAGAATTCAGTGTTTTAAGAGCTAGAGCCTTACTCTCCATCATGGAGATTTCCAAGAAGGCTGGCTGCCTTTTTTCAAACAGACGGACACATAGCATTACAATATTTCAAATAGTTAACATCTCATTTTTACAAAGGAGGTTGTAATCCTGTGTTATTCAAGTTATATGCTTAGGTCTAAATAACAATTTCCAAACATTTTACCAACTGCAATCAAAGAAAGAAAAAACAATAAGTTTATTTGATTGTGGAGATGCCTGGAAAATTTTCACTGAAAGCAAAATATAGCCATTTTAAGTTGATAGTTTTATTATCCACCCCTCAGTTCTACCATAGGCTTTCATTTATAGTAATTGAATTCAAGGAGGAACTAAGTCTGAATATCAAATGGAGCAAGGACCACATGTTGAAAGGGAGGACTTTCAGGCTGCTTATCAAAGAAATGTTCATATAAATATAACTAACCTTAACCACTCAGACATTAAAGTTAAGGCGCTCAAATACTCACCTGGGCTTTTGATATTTTTAGAGCCCAATATATGTAATCAGTGATAAATGATCAGGTCCTAATAGTTGTATCATGTAAATAAGCCCTCCTAAAAATATTTTCAATGCAGTTTATTCCAAAATCCTCCTCACCAAAGTGATTTGTTCATTGTTTCAGTTAGGAAAAACAAAATTTATATTCCCATAAGAAAGGAAAAATATATACTCTTATCTCTTGCTCTCGTATACCTAAAATGTAATTTTGGGGTTTTTTTTTTGTTTTGAAACCAAGATGAGAATAAAGTTGCAATGGCCAATTTTTAAATTAACACAGTTATTTTAACTAACTCAACACCAAGCAAAGAAGCATTTTTGAAACTTTTAAGTACTTTCATTATTTTCTTGACTTAATTCTAGAGCCTAGAAAGAAGGAAAGGAATTATGTATTTTTGTTGTCTTTACTTTTTGAAATTAGACACATGCAAACACCTGAATAAGCTATGAAGTTCATATACCTCTTTCCCAACATGGGAAAATTGTGTCAAGCAGTGCTGAAGCAATAAATACTGCTCTAAGAAAGAAATAAGATGCCTATATAAAATTTCATTTAAAAAAGCAAATGATTTCATAAATGATTGTCAAGATTGGAAGTTGGATTATGTGGCAGTTGGAAGTCAGACTTGTTCCTTAGAAAATTAGATACATTAAGATGTGACTACTTTAGAGTTAAGCAAGTGTACAGAAGAATTACTCTTAACAGAATTTTTGAACAGATGGATTTTTGTTTGGAAATCTAATAAATTTTGAAACATATTGTAACATGTAACTCTGGAAAAAGAACTTCATCAAAAATCCATGGACATTGCCTTGTTAGAACTTTACACTACTGACAGAACAAGGTAAAGAGTAAAATGTCCAAGCAACATTTTCTTTACCAATGTTGAGCTTTCATCTCTGGACAAGCATATAGTTCATTTCACAACTGTTCTTTGTATATAGGTTTTTATTTTGTCTCTAGGGCTATTTTGTTGTTTATTAAAATGAGAGACCAAGTATCATTCTCTCTTTATTTTTTATTTTTTTTTTTTTTTGAGACAGAGTCTCGTTCCGTTGCCCAGGCTGGAATGCAATGGCACGATCTAGGCTCACTGCAACCTCCACCTCCTGGGTTCAAGCAATTCTACTGCCTCAGCCTCTCAGGTAGCTGGGATTTGCAGGCATGCACCACCATTCTTGCCTATTTTATTTTATTTTATTTTTTTATTTTTAGTAGAGACGGAGTTTCGCCATGTTGGCCAGCCTGGTATCAAACCCCTGACCTCGGGTGATCCACCTGCCTCGGCCTCCCAAAGTGCTAGGTGAGCCACCGTGCCTGGCCTCATTCTCATTTTTTAAATTAATTCCTTTTCATTTTACCTAGAAAGCCTGGTATCTTTGTCCAGGCTGCTTGGGCTGCTATGAAGAAACACCACAAACTGGGTGGCTCACAAGCAACAGAACTTTATTTCTCACAGTTTTGTAAGCTGAGAAGTTCAAGATCAAAGTGCCTGTAGATTCTGTGTCTGATTCATAGATGGTGCCTTCTCCTCATGTCCTCACACGATAGAAGAAATGAGGGACCTTTCTTAGGCCTCTTTTATATGGGCACTGATCCATTCATGGAGGCTCCACCTCCTTAATCTAATCACTTCCAAAGGCCCCACTTCCTAATACCGTCATTTTGGGAGTGAGAATTTCAATATATGAATATTGTGTGACCATGAACATTCAGACCATAAAATCTAGTAACAGGATTTGTTCTATCACCATTTAATTTACACAAACACCAACTGACCAACCAAAGGAAACAGGTCAGTTGAGTGTATAACAATTAACTGTTGGTCTGTGTCTGTAAATCTTGTGTTTGTAATGATTTGGTCCTGGACATTTGAAGATATGTGAAAAAGAAGCTAGAGATTATCTAGTCCAATCTTTTCATTGAGTAAATTAGCAAAGTAAGGCCAAAAGAAGCTAAGTGACTTGCTGTGGTAGGCAGAATTTCAAGATTTTTTTTACCTCCCTGTTGTACACATCCTGCATAATCCCCAAGACCGTGAATATGATGGATTTTACTCTTATGATAAGGTTATCCATGGATCTTAAAATAGAGAGATTATTTGGGTGGGCATGACCTAATCTCATAAGCTCTCTAAAAGCAGAGTTTCCTCAGCTTGTTGCAGAAAAGAAAGTCAGAGATTTGAAGGACTATATGGTTTCAGTGAATTAATGCCAGCTTGGAGAGGGAGGGAGCCATGTGGCAAGGGATGTGAGAGGCCTCAAGTACCTGAGAGCAGCCCCTACCTGACAGCCAGTAAGGAAACATAAACTTTACTCTTACAGCTAAAAGAAAATGCATTCTGCCAACAACTAATGAGCTTGGAAGAGAACTCCAAACCCCAGAAGAGGCCTGTCACATTGGCTAACACCTTGATTTCCACCCACTGAGACCTTGAGCAGAGACTTCAGTTACACCCCACCCAGACTTCTGACCTGCAAAACTGTGAGCTAATACATGGATGGTGTTTCAAGCTTCTGTTTGTAAAATATTGTTCCCCAGCAATAGAAAAGTAATACATTTATCTAAAATCCTATTGTTGATAAATGAGAGTCCAAGATCTCCTAAGACTTAAAACAAGTCTTTTATCTCCTGCTAGAGACAGAGATAACAAACAGTGATTTAAGAATGCATTTGATCAAGCACCAAGGTATATAATCAAGGTATAGATGCCCATTGGGTGAGGAACACCCAAACTACTATTCTTTAATCAATAAGAGAAGGTAAAAACTGAGATTTATAATTGGTCAAACATTAATTCTGAATAAAAGAAAACTATTTCAGAGAAAGTGGAATGTATCTCCCACTAAATTGCATGGCTAGGAGTTAAAAAAAAAGGAAGCTACTCCTCCAACATTTTAGCCTTTCAAATCTGGTGGTACCAGCTAGAAACTAACAGGGGATATTTGGTCTCATGTACCCCATAAATACATACATCTACTATGTTCTCACAAAAATTAAAAATAAATTTTTAAAAGGGAGTATTTGGTGAACAGAATATGAGCTCCGAACATAATCTTGTAAAGGCATCCTTACCCTATCTTACTCAGGTAAGATTTTTGTGATGTAAGATTTTTGTGATGTTCAAAATTTTCCATCCCATTGGTGAAATTACTCTGACGAAAAGAGTTATGATTTCTGAATTCAGAATAAACCAAATTTCCTTAGTTATTCATCCCAGTTAGAGAAGTTCTTTCACTCTCTCTTCTTTCTAAACCCAAATAAGAAATTACTTGCTCAAAGGGAAAAAGGACTCACCAATATTTGTATCTTTCTCAGTGTATATGAGGCCTGGAGTCATGTATGCGGCGATTTCCAGTATTAGTTAGTACCAATTTCCATACATCAGACAGTGTGAAAAATCATGTAATTTCTACCACACGCATCTAACCATTGTGACTTTGCTGATGAGGGAAATAGTGGCTTCATCTTTCCTGTGGCATGCCATCTCTATTAGACTTCGTAAACTGCAGCAGTTGAAATCTTTAACCAGCCATTACTAATAAGCATATGTTAATTGTTGCAGAGATCATAAGCAGGTCAATTAGGAGGCAAAGACTGGAACCGAAGGAAACATTCAGCTAGAGGGAAAATCCAGGGCAGGTGTCGGCCAGCATGGACTGCCCTGGCGGGAGCTCTAAGCATCTTGGGTAGAAGCTCATTTAACGTTTTGATTTGCTGAATTTGCATTTCAAATTTTCATTCCTAATAGACAATATAGTCAGTCTTTGTTAATGAGGACTCTGATTACATGTGCCATTATAATTGGGAATTAGCAGACCAGCCTTGTTTTGGAGATTAAACCCAAAGCAAATTGGATTAAATACGGTGTGACTGAAACCTCCTCTCTCTCCCTTTTTGTTTTTTTTTCTTGAGTCAAAGGTGAAAAGAAATCCATTGGTTCCAGGCATATGGCTCCTAACTTTATTATCATTTTTAGAGCGTTGATTATACTTTAAAAGATAGCCTTCTTTGGCAGCGTTCATTTATAGCTTTAAAAACTTGTTTATTAAATTTCCTTCCATAAACTGAGGAGATTTAAGAGCAGATCATTAAATACTTGGAACTAATTATAGAATACACACATGTATACAGGTAGATTTGTTATATTTTTATGCAGCATACTATATATAAAAAAGCAATGAGGGAGTAACCCTTTAAAATGAGCTTTAGGTAAAAGTGTACAACTCATCTTCACAGCAATATTATTTGAACTCATTGTTTTATAATCTAGCAAATCTGTGACATTTGCTCTACCAGATGTTAGCATATCATCTTAAATGCAAAGGTGAAATACATTTTATGGTAATGTTATCAGTTCACAAAAACCCTTTTTATCATTTTATCGTGACAATTACAATGCAATTTTTACATTTTAGACTGTAAATATCATAACCCTTAAGTGACATATAGCTTAGGGTTATGTGGTCTTTCTTTATTCTCTTGGGTCATTTAATATTGTAATCCAGTTACACTCCAACATTTTCATTATTAAGCTGAAGACCAGTTCTTCAAAAACTATCACTAATCCCAAGACATCGGAAAATCATGCTTATTAATTCCCATGAGATTCAGTTAGATGTTTGTTTGGCTATAGGCCACCTTAATTACACAACAAAAGAAGATCTTCACAAGATGAAGAGAAATTCAAATACTTTCTGAGTGCATGTTGGTCTTTGAAGACACACAAATGAGGTTAGACTTGGATATTAATAATCAGGTACACTTTTTCAGCCATAAAAGGTTAACGTGTGGAGAAACGAAGGAAAGGAGAATTTTACATGGGGATGTGGTTTTTATTCCATTGTACTGTGTTTACAGAGGAAAGTAATCTTGGTGGAAAGTAGCTATGCAAATAAAGGTTAAGGTACCATGACCTTACCCACCTAGAAATCTCTTACAATGGAAACAAGAGAAAGTGGTAAAGTTTTCTAGGAATGTGAAATCTATTATAGGAGGATCAGGAATTGTTTCTTCAGGGAAGCTTGTTAATTCTGTAATCGCTCAATTTCATATGTATCACCTAGCCCAGTGCCTGATTTGATGAGATGGGAAAGGTAATGGCAGCTTCAGAGACACAGGTTTGCCTTGAAAATAAATGAGTTCCTATGGCTATGTGTAAGTTCTTTTCTTTCTGATGGAAAAAAAATGACTTGTTTCAGTTAAACTAATAGATAATTGCTATTTAAACCATATATGAGTTTCAGAGTTTTTTTTAACAAGGGCAGAATGTCATATAATTAACATTGAATTTGCCAAAGTGCTATAGTATTATTAATTTGAAGTTTTATTCCTTAAGTTCCATAGAAGTGAACTGCATTCTCTAACACCAATGCCCAACACATGAATGAGTTAAGAATCTCGAGTGTTTTGGAGTTATCAAATGATAATAAATTATCACTGTCAAAGTTTAACATTACTGACTAATAATAATTTTCCTTTATCAGATAACAAAGACAAGACAAAAGGATGTCTGGGTTATACATTTAAGTTTGCTAGTTTTATATATTTAATTATATTCAAAATTATTTTATTTAGGCTTTGATTATAGCTAACACCGGTAAGGATAATAACTTACTAGTATCTAAAAGAGTAATGGCTTAAAATGGTTTGATGGTCACAAAAAGGGACAATTTGCTTCTCACTTATCCTCAATAAATTTGCTGAAGTAAGAATGTGAGATATTTGGAAATTGAAACTGATTTTAAATCTTGGTAACTCTGCCTGATGAATTCAGTAAATGAAGTTTTGGCATGCATGAGTATTATTACTCTTTTTATCTTTGCTATTTTGAGATATTGTTTTTATTTTAGAAATTGCTTTTTGTTTTTGTAAAGAAAAAAAATGCTCATGCCAAAAAGTAAATTCAACAAACAAAAGTTCAATAAAGACCATAATATTCAAAGCCCCACTTTAAAAACTTACTTACAAAGTAACTAAAGGTTACTTTAACATCTTTAACATTTCAATGAACAACTTTCATCACCTCTCTCTATAGATACACACATATATGAGTATATTTATAATATTTTACATAAAATGAATCAAAATAGGGTGTACATATATTAATCTCTAACTTGATTTTTATCCATATAGGATAAAATCTTTCCATGTCAAAAATGAATATCTGCAACTTAGAAGTATGACAGATAATATTTATCAAACTAGACTGAAGGTTGTGACCTATTAGTAAATTGTGAAATTAGTTTGGTTAAACTCATGTAACATTTTATAAAGGATATAGAATAGACAAGAATGCAATGGGATGGGAAAATATCAGAGTGCACTGTATGTAGTAAAGGTAAGAGTTTTTTCATGAAATTTGTCTCAATAGTGTGGCTATGCCTATACAAGCATGTGCTATGTCACTATGTAAAATGTATTTCATACTGTGGATTGCAGTAAAAATTAAGTCTGAGGGCACAGCTGATAGAGGGTAGACCAGGGAACTTTTACAAACCAAATACCTACTCATCGCCAATGTTGGCATTATTTCCACAGGAGCATGGACCCGTCTTCACTTCATCTTCCTTCTCTCCCCACCCCATACGCTGGTGTAGTCAATCATTTTTATTGATGGCTTGTATTGTTGGTGGTATATTTTGGCAAAACAAACAAGAAATGAAGACTATGCAATAAATGGCTAATTCAATAGGCTTAGGGGTTGCTTATTTTAAAGGTTTTCTTTACTGGCCCTTGATAGGCACCTGATATAGAACCTGTGAGCCCTTGAAATGTCCTCACCAATGAGTGTCTTTGTATATCTGAGACCTTGGGCCATGCCAGACAATTTATGCTAGCGATGTGATTTATGGCGCATACCCATTTTTGTATGCCTGAGGCTTTGGACCATGTATCAGTTTGACCTGTGGGGGGCTGGATACTGAGAAGCTAGGGCTAGTCCTGTGGGTGCTTCACCAATTAACCACCAACGAAAACCCTAGACAGAAAGGCTCAGCTGAGCTTCCCTGGTCGGCCACACTCACATGTGTTGTCACATATCACTGCTAGGAAAAGTCAGTGCTGCCCATGAGACTCCACTGGGAGAGAACAACTGGAAACCTGGACCTCATTTCTCCTGGGTTTGGCCCTATGCACCTTTTTCCTTTGTAGATTTTAATCTGTATTCTCCTTTTGCTGCAATCAAGTATAACTACGAGTAGAAGAGCTTTTCTGAGTTCTCTGAATCCTTTTACTGAGTGGTCAAACTTTAGGGCAGTCTTGGAGACCCCACACAACAAAATAGTAATTAGCCTCACTATTTTTAATGGCCACAAAGTATCCTGTGGTATGTATATGCCATAATTTATTTTACCAATCCATTATTGATGGTCATGAATTTTCTGTATTATTTTTGCTTTTGATAATATAAATAATCTTGTATCTACAACTTTTTCAACTTGTTGAAGTTATTATTCCTATCATATCTTTGCAAATGTAAAGGCAAAAATATGTCTCATCTTTACTTTCATTTTCTTGATTGTAATGAGGCTGAATATCTAATCATGTTTAATGGGTCTTTATATTTCTTCTTTTAAGAATTGTCTATTCTATGTGTGTCACCCATTTTTTATTAGAGTACATAGCTTTTAAATATTGATTTGTACTTTAATTTGGATGACTTGAGTAGGTTAGTGAATAAACTTGACTTATAAAATATTTTAAAACAAGTGTAGTCCTATTGTTCCTAAATGCTACAGAAGTGTGCAAGTAGGACTCTTGCCAAGACTATACTGAGGAATAAAAGATTCACATACATATTTGTATATATTGGCTGCTTTGGAAGTAGCTAAAACTGCCTAGTTGTTTTGTTTAAATGATTCATTTTCTTGGCAAAACTTTTCTTCTTATTCTAAGGTATTGCCAAATAACATTCAGTTCCGGTTTGGTCAAAGCGGCTTTCTAAATAATGGCATTTAACAATAAAGTGGCAAAGAGAAAAAGTTATACAACTGTTACACACTTTTTAAAATAAAATGAGTTTGCATGTATCCACACCTTATACTTAAGAACTAAGCACCAATTGTTCTTTATTCCCAATTAAAAAGCAAGCTCATCTTAGTCAAATGCATTACTGTCAGGTTCACTGAGAGAAACTTATTGAATGCCAGGTACACTTGCCGTGTGTGCCAAACATGTACATACATTTAATTTAATTTTCTGTATAATAGATATCCATGGCAATTGGCTAGTCTTTATAAATGAGAGAGAGAGAGAGAGAGACAACAAGCCTGCTAGTAGTGGGCTGGGTACTTGGGGACGCACAAAAATCTTTAAAGACCCTGGGTCACCATTAATGCTAGAGAAACAAAGAATAATAAATGAAGTCTTTCAGCATTTTTTGAGAGGTTTTTTTTCCTCTCTTACATAAATATATTACTCTATAGGGACTCAACTATTCCTCATACTCCTTCTGAAATGGGGGCAGTATTTTATAAGGTGGGACATATTACTGCAAATTTTAAGTATTATTATTGCTGTTGCTATTACTATTAGAAATATAAGTAGTAGATTATTGTTGTGCTTCAAGTGTTTTCACATATATTTTCCCATTATTAAATGGTCATGGCTTTAGCTCTTAAGTCTCTTTTAGCAGTATGTAAAGGCACTTAGGAGAAGAGCATAATCAGTCAATACGTTGGCATATTTTTAAGTAATTTAGTTTACCAAAAGCCTTCACCTCTGTGATTTTGCTTCCCTCTTCTGAGGCCTTTCTGGAAGTCTCTGTAACCTGAATTTTTAGGGAGAAGTACATGGTGACTTAGAGAGGTTACTTGCCATACACAGACTTGCAATTGGTACAGTAAGTGATAGAGTTGATGTTCTTGATTCATTTATTCATTTATTCATTCAGGACTCTTTTGAGGCCCTGGGATGCATCAATCATCCTGATAAATGGTGAAGACAATATTTAAAATATATATGGCCTGTTTTCTTTAAGGATGTAGTTTAGCAGAGGCATTTTGCATGAAATCATATAACTAAAATGCATTGTCTTGCGTGGTAACAGAAAGATGAAATGCTGTATAGCTCAGAGGAAGGAATGATTACTTTTCTGGGATGGTATGGAGATGATGAGAAATGTCGAGCAGGATTACAATGCTCAGAGTGTTCCTGGTGTCCCACAAAGAGACCACAGGATATCTCAGAAAGAGCCCAGGAAGAAAGCCTGCAGCTGTTCTGAGGAAGCAAGCTAAAACTAATTGGTAACATTCCATATTCCCTGTCACCATCTTGAAATATATGAAAAGGGATACTATCACTCTGAGAAAAAGTCATTACCTAAACAGTGAACCTAAAATATATTCTCACACTGGGTGGGATGAACACATTTAAATTTTTTTTTTAATTTTAAATGTATATTTTAATTAGACGTTTTTACTAAGCACATGACAGTTAACATCCATGGGACAAAGTTTCAAATGTAGAGATAAAAAGTTTTAAAGGAAATTAAAAAGCACACAATCTTGCCATAGGTATATAGGCATTTTTTTCTTCTTATGTGTATTATTTCATAAGTAATAATTTATTTGCTCTTTTTTATATTGACATTGTAAATTAGAGATTTTCAAATTTTATTTAATTTGACATAATTTAACTATTGCCATGTTATTGAACATTTCTCTTGTCTATATAGATTTTCCTGTTTATAAATGATGCTGTTTCTAAGATCTTTTTTGTATTGCTTTCTCCTGTTATTTCATTTTATTTACCTAGAATATTGTCTTCCTAAAATAGATTACCAGAAACAGAATTACTGGGTCAAAGGTGTACCATTTTTTAAACATTTGATATACATTATCAAATTTGTCCTTCAGAAAGCTTGTGCCAGTTATATTCCCACCAATATTGACTTGTTTGAGCTTCAGTATTTTTTAATCAACTTGTGTATCATTACATATTAGGAAGAGTAACCCTCTACAGTATTTACTCTAGATATTTTTCTCTGTTTATTTTCTTTTATTACAGTATATAATGTTTCTAAAGCAGAGATTTTAAAAGGGTCAAGCCTATACATCTTTTTCTTTATATGTATATAAATATATTTTAAATTTCAATACTTTGAGGGTACAAGTGGTTTTTAGTTACATGGATGAATTATAAAGTGGTGAAGGCTTAGATTTTAGTGTACCCATCACCCAAATCATGTACATTGTACTCAATATTTAGCTTTTTATCCCTCACACCCTTCTCAACCTCCTCAATTCTGAATAGCCAGAGTCCATTATACCACTCTGTATGCCTTTGCATACCCATAGTTTAGCTCCCACTTATAAATGAGAACATATGGTATTTGGTTCTCCATTCCTGAGTTACTTCACTTAGAATAAATGCCCTCCAGCTCCATCCAAGTTGCTGCACAAGCCATTATTTCATTCTTCTTTACAGCTGAGTAGTATTCCAGGGTGTATATGTACTACATTTTCTTTATCCACTCATTGTTTGATGGGCACTTATGTTGGTTCCATATTTTTGCAGTTGTGAATTGTGCTGCAATAAGCGTATGCATGCAGGTGATTTTTTGATATAATGACTTCTTTTCCTTTGGGTAGATATCCAGTAGTGGAATTGCTGGATTGAATGGTGTATCTATTTTTAGTTCTTTGAGAAATCTCTGTGCTGTTTTCCATAGAGGTTGTGCTAATTTACATTTCCACCACCAGCGTATAAGAATTCCCTTTCATCATATCCATGCAATGTCTATTTTTTTACCTTTTTAATAATGGTCATTCTGGCTGGAGTAAGGTAGTATCTCATTGTGGTTTTAATTTGCATTTTGCTGATGACTAGTGATGTAGAGCATTTTTCCATATGCTTCTTGGCCATTTGTATATCTTTTTTTGAGAACTGTCTGTTCATGTCACTTGCCCACTTTCAATAATTTTTAATGAAATTATTTGTTTTTTTCTTGCTGATTTGTTTGAGTTCCTTGCAGATTCTAGATATTAGTCCTTTGTCAAATGTGTAGTTTGCAAATATTTTCTCCTGTTCTGTGGTTTGTCTGTTTACTCTAAAGATTATTTCTTTTGCTGTATAGAAGCTTTTTAGTTTAATTAGGTCCCATTTATTTATTTTTGTTTTTGTTGCATTTGGCTTTTGGGGTCTTAGTCATAAATTATTTGCCTAGGACAATGTCCAGGAGAGTTTCTCCTAGGTTTTCTTCTAGAATTTTTATGAGACCTATACACCATTTTTATTGTGGTTTTATTTTTCCACTATTGTTTTTTAAAAAGCTTATAATATTTTTTTTCCAGAGAAAGGGTTTAATGATCACAGTGCAGCTGAGCAAGGAGACGGGAGGAACCCCCAAATCTGTCTCTCTGAGGAGTTTTTGGGCTGGGGTTTTTAAGGGGATTACGGAGAGCCAGGGGTGGAAAATTGGGGTAATTGATTGGTCAGGGTAAGGGAGATGAAATCATCAGGATGTGGAAACTGCATTCTTTGTTGAGTTAGCTTCTCATGGGATCCTTCAGACCAGCTGGTGTCAGTTAGTTTCACCACGATGCAGGACCCAAAAGAATACCTCAGATGAAAAACTTAATGTTTCACAATGTTTATCTATAAAGCAGTTAAGAGAAGAGCTATAATCTTGTAACAGGGTTTATGTGATTCTGGGGCAATAGACAAACAACTGTAAGGAAACAGGTCAGGGAGTAAGCTGACCTAATCATTAACACTGAGTGTGCTGCAAGCTTGCTTTATTTTCACTTATCCTGATTAATTTTATAAAGTTTATAGGATTGGTTTCACAATTGCTGGATTATATGGTAAGAGTATGTTCAGTTTCATAAAAAACTGCCAAACTGTCTTCCAATGTGGTGGTACAAATTTGCATTCCCAGCAGCATTCTTGTTACTCCAAGTCCTTGCCAGCATTTGGTGTTGTTAGTACTCTGGATTTTGGCTATTCTGATCATTGTGTAATGATATCTCTTTATTATTATTATTATTATTATTATTATTATTTGAGACGGAGTCTCACTCTGTCACCCATGCTAGGGTGCAGTGGCACGATCTGGGCTCACTGCCAGCTCCGCCTCCCAGGTTCACGCCATTCTTCTGCCTCAGCCTCCCGAGTAGCTGGGACTACAGGCACCCGCCATCACGCCTGGCTAATTTTTTGTATTTTTAGTAGAGACAGCGTTTCACCGTGTTAGCCAGGATGGTCTCAATCTCCTGACCTCGTGATCCACCTGCCTTGGCCTCCCAAAGTGCTGGGATTACATCATTATTGTTTTTAGTTGCATTTTCTGATGACATGTTGAACACCTTTTCACATTCACAGACTTATCTGCAGTCTGTATATCTTCTTTGGTGAGGTGTCTCTTAAGGCCTTCGGTCCAGTTTTTAATTGGGTTGTGTGTTTTGTTATTGCTGAGTTTTAAAAGTTCTTTGCGTATTTTGGATAATGGTCCTTTATCTGATAGTTTTGCAAATATTTTCTCCCACTCTAGGGTTTGTCTTCTCGTCTTCATGTTAGTGACTTTTGCAGAGCAGAAGATTTTAATTTTACTGAAGTCTTTCTTGGATCATGTCTTTAATGCTGCATCTAAAAATTAATTGCCATATCCCAGGTCATATAAGTTCCTTCCTATGTTATCTTTCAGTAGTTTTATAATATTGCATTTCATATTTAGGTCTATGATTCATATGTAGTTAATTTCTTATAAATTTTGTTAATTTTTACTTTGCATAAAGCACATATTCCTCTACATAATATGGTGAGCCTCATCCAGTCAGTTCAAGGCCTTAAGAGCAAAGAGCAAAGTTCCCAGATGCAGCCCCTAAACCTTGGACTTTTCAGTGTCCAGAACTATAAAAAAATAAATTTACCTTTTTTTTTTTTTTTTTTGACAGTCTCCCTCTGTCGCCCAGGCTGGAGTGCAGTGGCGCGATCTCAGCTCACTGCAAGCTCCGCCTCCTGGGTTTACGCCATTCTCCTGCCTCAGCCTCCCGAGTAGCTGGGACTGCAGGCGCCTGTCACCACGACCAGCTAATTTTTTTATATTTTTAGTAGAGACGGGGTTTCACCGTTTTAGCCAGGTTGGTCTTGATCTGACCTCGTGATCCGCCCGCCTCGGCCTCGCAAAGTGCTGGGATTACAGGCGTGAGCCACCGCGCCTGGCCAAATTTACCTTCTTTAAAAATTACCCTGTCTCAGGTATTCAGTTATAGGAACAGTAAACAAACTAAGCACACAAAGAAGAGATCTTGCGAGCACGCAGAGAGAAGGCAGCCTTCTATAAGCCAGGAAGGAAGTCTTCATCGGAAACTAAATTTGGCAGCAACTTGATCTTGAATTTCTCAGCCTTGAAAATTTAGTCGTTTATTACAAAGGATACTTTAAACAATTCAACTAAACACAGATGAAGAAATATATAGGTCGAGGTCTGGAGGGGGCCCCAAGTGCAGGCAACTATGAAAGATTTTCAAACAGACTTAAGAGCTCCAAATGTCTCCAGTGTCAATAATATGGGCTATAGTAGGGACTGCTACAGCAATATCTTGCTTCTATAAGTCAGAATACACTGATCAGCAGCTGAAATTACATGCTGTGAGTTTTAGCACATAAGTCTTCTGGAAGGACAAACATTTTAAGTGATTTTAAAGAAATTAACATACTTGACTTTCCTTATTTTTTTGTATAATACAATAAACAATCTAGATTTTTAAAAATATACCCAAAATAAGATAAGAGTCTTCATAAACTGCCTGTAATAGTTTCTACTTTTAGATTGGCTAGAGTGACATATGAGTTAAAAATCATTGAACAGCATATACAACAGTGGACTCGACTGTCTCTTTCTTTCTTTCTTTGGACAAATTTTATGGAATATAATTATTTAAATTGTGTTAAAAGACCCACATGTGTTCCAATAATAGAACACTAGGCATAAATGGGCTAATAAAAGCTTATGTTTCCTGGCTAGGAGCAACTCGAGTTGCCTGTATTATGAAGTACCCATTCACTTAATCTCATCATTTTTGTTGGAACAGAAGTTAGGACAAAAAATACCTTGTTGGCTTGTCAGTGTCTCTACTTTCTCCAGATGCTATTTGGAGTGACACGTTGGCAGTTGTTCAGTGATAATTCTAAGGCGGCCAGAGCAGAAATGAAGCCAGATTGACACAGACTTCAATTGACGTTTGTGATACTAGATGCTGTGAGAGACCCTTTTCTCAGCCAAACAACAAATGTAGGACATTAATTCATGAACTGTGGTAAAAAGACTCTAAACTCCAAATTCGTTTGACAATTTCCCTTTTATATCCTGGTGAACAAAATGGAGCATGCTTGACTGAATACATGGATACTTTGGGTGAGTTGGGTTAGTAATAATTTGTATGATGAAAATGTATTCTACGTAATAATTGATATCAGTCTAGAAGGAGATTGATTTTGTTCAACATTTTTATCCATGACTCTGATGAAAGTATAGAAGGCTTACTCAACAAATTTTTAGATGGCACAATGGCTTTTGTATTTGATTACAGCTTCAAATAGAAAAAGATATCAACAAGCTACACCAATGATGTAAAATCTAGCAAGATAAAATATAATGGGAATGAATACAAGATTCTATATGGAGACTCCATAACACATCAACTATAGATGCAGGATTTAGGAAACAGTGTGGCAGCTTCAGATGGCAACAGTGGCTTGGCAGTCACCCCCTCTGTCCTATTTAAGTGTCCCACCTCAATTTGAGATAACAACATTGCATGACTCCTTTGGAATTTTATGAAATTCAGTCCCTTTTAATAGGAGTCAAATATCAGAAACAAACGAGATGACAATTTCACTTTAGCCTTTTAAGATATTTGACTTTTAAGACTTTGACTAAGGCTTCCCATCCCAAAAGACTCCTTTAAGAGAAGTTACACAAACTGGAACTTGTTAGAGAGTAAACAGGAAATGAGTGGGCTTAAAGTCAACCATGGAGAAACAGCTGAGGATTTCATACTTTGCCTTCACCAACTGGGGAAGTTCCTCAATTGTTTTTGTTTTTCAAGGCCTTGAAATCTTCGAAGAATATTGGCCAGATATTTTTGTAGAATGGCCCTCAGTTGGGCCTTGTCTGAAGTTTTCTCATGATTAAATACAGGCTTGTGTATTTTTAGCAAGTATTATACAGCCATAGCATAGTACCCTCCTAGGTGCATCATATCAGAAGGCACATGATATCAACATGCTTTCTTAATGATGAGGTTAACTCCAATCATTTGTTAAAGGTAATGTCTTCCAGGCTTGTTCACTGCAAAGTTACTACTTTTCCCTTTGCAATTAATAGATATCTTGTGTGGTGATACTTTGAGTTATGTAAATATATCGTTTCTGATCATAATTTCACACACTAATTTTAGCATCTATTGGTGCTTTCTGTTTGCAACAATTACTGTGATGTATCTGTCAAGTCAAATGGTGATTTCCCATTTGCATTATTTCTTTCACACTTATTAATTAAAATCCTACCATAGGGAAGGGCTGCCCCTTCTCTACTGAATTGTTGGTTCGACAATTTTTTCAACTGATTTTTGTATCTATATCAGTATAAGTATAAATAAGTATAGTAATATTTGCTTTATTCTTTGAGTTATAATTCACTTTTCTCTAGATTTGACCATGAAAATTACTTCAGATTGGCTCCTGTGTCCCTTCAAAGTCCTTTTGACATATGTTTATCATTTTTTAAGCACTTGCTTAATTTCTGGCACTACACGATGCTCCTGGCTTATCTTGTTTTGTTTTTCTTTTCCTTGTCCTAGTCCTGGAAAGTCATGACGCATTTTATGATATCAGCAATTTCTCCAAGAAATCCTTGTTTCCCTTATTGGAAAATGTCATTTAGAAACGAAGATCTGGGTGTTAGGTGTGTTTGTTCCTTCTGAGGTGTCATTTCTTCTAGGCCCCCTTAGCATAAAGAACCGGGAAATATAAGTATGTATCCACACACATGCACACACACACACATGCACACACATCAATTTCTATATCTGTCTACCCGTACATATTTTAGAAACCATGAGTTCATATCGATACGTCTCATTCCAGTCCAACACCAGAGGGCTGATTCCAACCTTGTCTCTTCCCTTATTTGTAACTCTTTATCTGACAACGAAAAACCCAGACCTCATTAGCCACAATATATTTACACATTTATTTAATTCCAGATTACATATAAAGTAGTCTCAGAGTCACTAACTCATACTTCTGTGAAAAACAAATTTAAAAACTATTGTCCAATATTTGAGTACAGTTCTTTTTGTCTTTTACCTTTATGCATATTGTCAAAAGATTGTTTTCCAAATTGACTTGGATCTATTTTTTTATTCCCTACCCACTTCAATGTGGCTTTGCTATACATTTGTAATGCCGTTAGATTAATTTGTTACTGTTTACATTACACTTTTGGTTCCTCCCTCTTCTAGTTAATTTTAATTATTTATTTTTATGCACGTGAAACATTAACAAGCTTCTAAAACTCAGAATTATACCAAAACCGCATGTACTCAGAAAAGTGTCATTCTCCTCTTATCCTTTCTATTCTATTCTCATTCCTCCATTCTTTCCTCCATACTTCCTGTAAGTAACCAGTCTCATTACTTCTCATTTATCTTTACTGTGTTGTTTTCCACATATAAGCTGATACACGTTTATTTTCTTATTTTCCTTTCATGCTTACATAAAAAATTAGCCTACTACAGATGCTCTTTGCACTTCTCATTTTTTACTTATCAATACATCCTGGAAAGCATTCCACATCAGTCATAGAGCTCTTCTTCATTCTTTTTTACAGATGCCTCGTATTCCCTTGTACAAACGTATCACAGTTTATCCCACCACTCTTCTATGTATGGGCATTTAGGTTGTTTCACACATTTTATAATTACAAACAATGATATGATTAATATTCTTACACTTTTATTGTTGATGCAATTAAAAACTGTGTACTGTGTTTTATTTGTTTATTTAGAATCTGTGTTTTATTGGAGGTGTAATTACAGTGTAAATTCCTGTAAGTGCTATTGCTGGGTCTAAAAGTAAGTGCATATGTAGATTTTTAAAATATGGCCAAATTTTCTTGCATACAGGCTGTAGGTATCACTTTGCCTTCCCTCTAGAAATACATGAGAAAGTACCTATTTTCCCACAAACTTACCAACAGAATATATTATAATGCTTTTTAACTTTTGCCAATCTGTTAGGTGGGAAATAACATCTCAGTGGTGGGATTTTTTTTTTTTTTTTTTTTTTTTTACCGAGTTTCACTCCTGTTGCTCAGGCTGGAGTGCAGTGGCATGATCTTGACTCACCACAACCTCCGCCTCCCGGGTCCAAGCGATTCTCCTGTCTCAGCCTCCCGAATAGCTGGGATTACAGGCATGCGCCACCATGCCCGGCTAATTTTGTATTTTTAGTAGAGACGGGGTTTCTCCGTGTTTGTCAGGCTGATCTCGAACTCCTGACCTCAGATGATCCACCCGCATTGGCCTCCCAAAGTGCTGGGATTACAAGCGTGAGCCACCGCGCCCGGCCCTCAGTGTTGTTTTAATTTGCACTTATGTAATTATGTGTACATTTGAACATCTTTCAATAGTTTAAAAGCCGTTTGATAACTTTTTTTGTGAATTGTCTATTTATGGATTCATTCCATTCTTCTATTGGGTTTTGGGTCCTCAGTATCTCAATCTTTAAGAGTTCTTAATATATTAGGGATAGCAGACCTTTGTGATGTATGTTACAAATATTTTCTTCTAATGTCTTAATGGTCTTCTGACTTTGTTTCTGGTGTTTTTGTCATGAGAAAAAGAAATCTATGGAGTCAAACTTACTTATCAACTATCTTTTTTACTGCCAGATGTTGAGTCATAGTTCAAAAATATTTTCCTATCCCTAGGTTGAGGAGAAATTCAACCATGAATTGGTCTGGTATTGATATGGCTTCATATTTCAAATTTTTATAGATATGGAGATTATTCTTATAATATGAGGAATAGATCTAATTTTATTTCTAAATGGCTACTAAGCACCATTATTTGCAAAATTTACCTTTGCTCAAATGATTTCAGCTACAATCTTTAATATATACTAATTTTATGTATATACTTGGCTTTATTTCTCGGTTATTTTCTGTTCCACTCATGTGTTTGTCTTCTTATGTGCCGATATAATAATGTTTTAATTACAGAGACTTATAGTATGTTTTAATGTCTGGCTGTTTTTCTTTGTGTGTTTTTCTGAGCATTCTTCCATGTTTGTTATTCCATATAAACTTTGGTATCAATTTGCCTAATAAAAGCTTCAACATAGAGTTTTAATCTAAGTTTGATAGCTATTTGGAGACAAAGTTTACTTCAAACTTTTTAACAGCCAGATCTGTCCAAAGACAGAATGGCGTTCGCATGGGTGGAGATGTTTAAGCATTGCTAGGCTGGACTAGTGCTTTTCTGACTTTAACGTACACATGAACCACCTGAGGATCTTGTTTAATTCAATCACCCAAAGATACTATTTAATTTAACCACCTGAGGGTATTGTGTAATTAATTGCTATGGTACAGATGGAATAACACACCAATCACTGGAACCCATGGGCACATTCATTCAAAGCCCCATAGTTAATATTGGGAGCAAAGTCAATATAGCAAGAATCCCAATGAATATAAATGTACATACTGTTAAGCTTTGTTTTGTGCCACTATTTTCTTTATTCAACCAGAAAATAGAGTTGCATGAATTTTCTTTTTTTAATGATGATATTTTGAATTGTGTTCTAAGTTTTGTGTTTGTAACCAATATTGTACTCAATAGATAATTTGTGTTTTTATACCCTATTTGGGTGATGATTTTACTAGAACCATTACCATTATACAATATATCTATGTAACAAACCAGCACACATACCTCCTGAATCTAAAATACAATAAAGTAACAAACTACTACTACTAATAATAATAATAAATAGGCTAGAGTCTACTACATTTTGGCAAGCAGTCACTGATTCTCCTTGTATGAAGAAAAGCATTGAGTCATACTGAGCAAGCCTAATAATCCTAAAATATTCTGTTTTGAGGCAATATACTTAATATGAAATATCAAATAATTTTAAAACAAATTTAGCCCTAATTCATGTATCACAATAATTCTTGGGAAGATGCTAGAATACAATTACCATGAATGTTTTCTTTCTTTTTTAATGATACTTTAAGTTCTGGGATTCATGTGCAGAACGTGCAGGTTTGTTACATAGGTATACACGTGCCATGGTGGTTTGCTGCACCCATCAATCCACCATCTACATTAGGTATTTCTCCTAATGCTATACTTCCCCAAGCCCCCCAACCCCTGACATGCCCCCATGTGTGATGTTCCCCTCCCTGTGTCCAGGTGTTCTCATTGTTTAACTCCCACTTATGAGTGAGAAGATGTGGTGTTCGGTTTTCTGTTCCTGTGTTAGCTTGCTGAGAATGATGGTTTCCAGCTTCATCCATGTCCCTGCAAAGGACAGGAACTCATCCTTTTTATGGCTACATAGTATTCCATGGTGTATATGTGCAACATTTTCTTTATCCAGTCTATCATTGATGGGCATTTGGGTTGGTTCCAAGTCTTCGTTATTGTGAATAGTGTTACAGTAAACATACGTGTGCATGTGCCTTTATAGTAGAATGATTTATAATCCTTTGGGTATATACCCAGTAATGGAATTGCTGGGTCAAATGGTATTTCTGTTTCTAGATCCTTGAGGAATCACCACACTGTCTTCCACAATGGTGGAACTAATTTACACTCCCACCAAGAGTGAATAACCGTCCTGTTTATTTGAAACCTGTCAGACCTTAAGTCCCACAGAAAAAGCGAAGAACTCAAATAAAAATATATGACCTGAAATATGGTGACAAAGCAAATGAGCTTTGAAATCAGAGGACTGGTTTTAAATCCAGGTTTTGACATTCTTTGAACAACTCTGGGTGATTTTCTTGACCCAAACTCTAATGTTTTCATCTATAAAATAAAGATAATCATAGAATGTACTGTCTAAGGCTATTGGTAAGATTAAATGAGATAATATCTGGAAAGCACTTAGCAGAGTATTCCATAAGTGGCTGCTTTTATTACTGTAACTTCTTGCTCATTTGGGGATAGACCCATTGCACAGATCCTTCCTCTTCAGATTGTTTCTTGTGCCCATTTGATGAGGTCCTGTTATATATGAAGGATTAAGCATCATTGCCTTGGTAGGAAGTCTTGATTGATCAACCATAGCTCTATTAGAAATATATGAGCTTATGATTTACACTAGAGATCCCCAGACACAGCCAATACAGCAGAACTTTGAAAAGCAAAAGCTTTGTGTTTCATACATTTAGATCTTTATCACTCTTATTTTAATCTGTGGCATGTGGAGTACATTATTTTTTCTAGGCTTTCATTAAGCAGATTACTAATAAGAAACAAAATCTTATCATCTTAGAACATGTTTTGCAGCCACTGCTTATGCCAAAACATCCATGGATTAGTTAAGAATGCCAACTAGCTGTCCTTAGGTTTTAAAGGGTTTTTCTATCATAGTACTATATTATTTCTTTAGATGACATCGATTTTTATTCTCTGTTCTGTGAAGTCTGATACATAATGCATACTAGCCTCAAAGAAAGCACCCAAAAAGACCACCCCAACAAAATATCTAGTTTCTTGTGTGGAAAGCACACAGGGAGTAACATGAAAGCATGTATGCACGCACATGCACGCATGCGCGCGCGCGCGCGCGCGCGCACACACACACACACACACACACACACAATTGCGTTCTTCATGACATAATCACTTAAGTTCATATCCGTAACAGCAAGTAATAGGGTTATAGCAAAGGTTCAATGAATGCTTATTAAAAGAATTAATAGAAGAACTAATGAATTAGAAGAACTAATAGAAGAACTTCTTCTAATAGAAGAACTAATAGAATTAATGAGGTAGAAACATAAGAGTATTATAAACTTGTATACATGTGAATGAGTATACAGCATATGCTACATATTTTCTACTAAGATCTTTTTAATTATGAGAGCTACATATTATTTTGAGATTGTTCAATAAAGCTCCCCGCCTTCTTTTACATAAATACCATTGCTGTTTTAAGCAGATAGGGGCTAATAAATGGTTTTACCAGATATTTCTTCCTGCAGGGGTGGCAGATGTACACAGGGAATCAGTTACTTAATTCCCCTAATCACCCATTTCTTTCCTCCCTCTTCATTCTGTGCTTGGAAACTTCAACATTCCCCAGTGTGCTAATAGCTGACCCGGGAAACTGGCAGAAACCAAAACCTTCTCTTGAAACCAGCAGGCTCCATATGGTTGCTTCAAGGATGGAGGGTGACCCTGCCAAGTCTCCTGCAAAGGGATTTCACAGAGCAGAGAGGCAAACGTGTGTCTTTAAACGTTAGTCATTGAGCCAGAGAGAAGAAATCATTTTCCTGATGAAAGGCAGTTAAAGTACTTTGCAGCTTCTGATCTGCAACCTATAGGAAGTTTTGTACAATGGCGGCTCAATGCCAAGCATTAAAAATAAATGTAATCATCAGATGATTAGCTCTAAAAATCTTCCCTCAAAAAATGATAGAGTTGTCAGTTACAGTTGAACATACATATGCATATTTGAAAACACGGAGACCAAGAATAACTTTGCGTGTCTGAAACCAGCACTATTCTACGTGTGTGAGGGTAACAGAGGCTATGACATAGCATATGAAGTCAATGGTGGAGTTGTTATTATTTATACATGAGTAAAGATTACAAATGCAAGCCCCAGCTCAGATCTCTCACCCCCTGGATCTGTGAAACCTGTCACTCAGTCTCCCGCGGTGTGTCTTCCTGTCTCGGAGCCATTGGACCACCTGCTGCCAAGACTCTCATCTACTGCATCGCCCGAAGGCCTCGATGATAACAGCATTGATTCCAATGTACATCTAATTACTTCTCATAATCTATTCATTTCACAATAGTGTAGTGAAACATCTGTCACATCATAAACTCTTTAGTAGCCTTATCAAACCACCAAAACACACTCTGCTGCCAGTTGGCAGTTTCCTCGGTTTCCTGTTTATTAATATGATGCAAACATTCCTAGTCTTTTTTGCAGCTTTAGATGAATTTCCCCAATGACCAGTGAAGCAGAACTGGGCAAACTGCAGTTGAAATGTCTGTATGTTACTTATTGAGGGACAAATCCGGATGTCACATGAAAATCAGTTAAAACAGCATTGTTTCCTTGGAGGAATTGTCTCTAAATAAAGTTCTTTCATTCATAACGGTGAAAGACAGGGCCCCTTCCTTGGCTTCGATGTGTCTGATTAATTTACTAAAATAAGCCACTGGGACATTATTGCCTTTGAATAGGATATTACACAGGAAAGCTTTTTACCTTCCTATCTTTAACTTTACCTTTGGGAAAATTATGCTCTTTCCTCTTTCTCCTCTTTCTGATTTTCTCTCCTCACCCTTTCTCTTCCTCCCCATTCTCTTTTCTCTCTACCCTTTTGTAGAAAAGCTAATAAAGAGACCATCATGTCATAGTTGATTAGCAAATACTGCTATTATTCAGTGATAAAGTCGACACAATATTCTAGGTACAATACAGATAAATACAGCATCTTCCAAAAAAGAGATCCATCACCAGGTCCTGAATGTTGGTAAACTTACTTCTACTCATTCTTTAAGATGCAGTTGAACAATATCTTCTTGGAGCAGCCCTCCCAGGGAGAATTATTCAATCCTTTCTTTATCAGCTCATAACAACTTGACATCTCTATTCATGCACTTAACATAATAATTGAGGATCATTGTTATACATATCTGCCTTACTCACAATGATAAATCCCTCAAGGATAAGGACTATGACTTTTTCATGTTTGTATCCTTGGCAACCTGCTGGGTGCCTGGCACCCAGACAATGTCAAATAGATATAGATATTTTCTAGTTCACTTAAGAGGATTGAAAAACTGCAATTTCAAGAGCTCCTTTACATTTATTATGAAAGTCAATATAATTCCCTATATTCTGCTCTAATAATAATAATGGTCATTCCTTAAATGTACCAGGCACTATTCTAAGTACTTCATATATATCAGCTCATTTAATGCTCAAAACAACCCTGCAAGGATGATTCTATTATGGTCCACATTTTAGAGCTAAGGAGTTGAGTGGCAGGGAGACTGAGTGCCTGCCTTCCTCAAGGTTACACAGCTGGTAGGTGGTGGAGCTCAGCAACCTGGCATGAGTCCCTGCTCTTAATTCTTACCCTATATGGTCTCTTCAGTAGCTAAATTATGCTCCTGTTAACTGCAGATGGCCCTCATATCATCTGATCAGTTAGTCTTTCTTGACCCATTCTTGAAGGTCTATAGGGAAAGACTGCTGTCCATGTGGGTGTCCCAAGCTGTCCATGAGGGTTTATAGGATGTATATGTGGCCCATGTCATTCACACAGTATTATGCAAATAATTTCAGCACAGCCTTTTGATATTACAATAGGAGGGGCCATTTCCCATATCTGTGGAGGGAATTCAAGCTTTCTTTTACATTTCCAGTGCAGATTTCAGGAAATCATTTCTGATAAAATTATCAACTCTTATTAACATACTTCTTTAAAGAATCCTTCAGGAAGCCATAGATGTTAGAAGGTTCTATGGCTATATTCCTGATGTCCATCAGAACATAAATTTATTTCTTGTAAAGTGTCAAATAGCTACCAAAAAACACCTTATGGCCCTTATTATCCTGGATTGTACTTAGTGCTAATGACCTACAGATGAAAAACTTTGTCGTATTACAGATCCCCTCAGATAACAATTCCCTGAGTACTCAAGAGTCAAGGCTAAAGGGAAATCAGCTGTTTGGCTCTTTCTACTGTTTGTTCAAATAGTATATAGCTTATAGCTACATGTATCAAAATAAAATATCATGTACTTAACAGGCCAGGTCTCCATTTCTGTATATCCCAGTGAAGTACATAGCTCTGTGAACTATAAATTAGTCTTTTCCAAAACTTGTAAAACCTGGAAGGACAAGGTTTGGGCATGGCAGCAGAGCTGAATGAAAGCTTGCCATCATGGTGTACTGGAAGGGTACAGATACATGGTGAATGCCACTGTTCTGGACTTTGTGTTCATTGGTAATAAATGAAGGAGCTCAACTTGTTTTTGCAAGAGGGACATTTGCAATAATTAATCTAGGGACAGAGAGATACTGTAAAGATCAATGATTAGGATTTGGGATCCGGCCTCAGATAAACCAGGGCTCAAAACTCTCTTCTTCCTCTTAATAAGTGAGTGAGTGAGTGACTTTTGGAAGTCACCTCCCTAAATACCAGTTCTTCATCTATTAATGGGCATGTTAACAGTACAGTCCTGAAGGGCTAATGGAAAGAAAATACATTTAAAGGGTTCAGAATACTAGTACCTGTGTTAGATGAACATTATTTAGTATTGTTATTGTCACTGCAGGTACAAACCATACTATTACATTATTCATCCCCATATCAAGGAGAAAAGGAGAAAAAGAGTCAAAGAATTCAAAGTTAAGACTATAATTTATTCCATTTCTTTATATTTAAAACTAAAAATAAATTTTGAAATGATTTGAACATTTTACTGGGATCTTTAAGATATCTTTAATCAAAAGGCTCTATTTTTAAAAACGTTATAGAATTTAATTCAACTGTTCACATGTTAACTAATTTCCAACAATAAGTTCCTGAAAGTAAAAAATATAAAATAATGAGTTATAAATGTTTCTTTGAAGGAACTGTCAGTACAAAAAATTTCCCTTTATGAAACACTAGGTCATCCCAGCACTTTGGGAGGCCGAGGCAGGAGGATCACTTGAACCCAAGAGTTTGAGACAAGTCTGGGCAACATGGTGAAGCCCCACCTCTACAAAAACTGCAGAAATTAGCTGGGCCTGGTGTCATGCGCCTGTTGTCCTAGCTACTAGGGAGACTGAAGTGGGAGGACTGTTGAGGCCACAAGGTGGAGGCTGCAGTGAGCTGTGATCACACCACTGCACTCTAGCCTGGGTGACAGAGCAAGACTCTGTCTCAGAAAAAAAAAAAAAAAATCTAGAAAGCAGCACAATGTGTCCAAGTAATCAGGTATAGACAGAGTACTAAGGATTATTAATGAGAACAGTGCAGGTAGTATAGGCTCAGAAAAGGAAGGGGCTGCCATAAGAATCATCAGCAGGGAAGGCCCCTAGTAGCAAGAGAGAGGGAGCTGACCTTTGAGGAATGGGCAAAATGTAGATAAAAAGCTGAGTAGTGGGAAATCATTCTGATCCAAGAGAACAACAACTTTTGACTCCTGCAGCTCTCTAGTCAGTGTAGTTGGCTTACTCAAAGCAGAGAGTGCCAGGGCACATGTAGCTGTCCATCCTTGCCTATTAATTCTTGCCAATTCTCCTTGTACAAATTCAAGGTGGATTTGCCTGGAGAAGTGGGAGGAAGTAATAGAGGATCTACTGAAGGCAGGATTTATATATCTTGTGATCTAGATAATAAAATTTGGTTGCTCAAGCCTCTGGCCATAGACCAGAGAAAGGCCTCCTCTTGAAAGCTCAGCTTGACCATGAAGCCTTTATGACAGCATAGAATGTGGGGAAAATGCTTTTCCCCTCTCAAGATGGCCCTTGCTTTATGAATATTTTAAGAAGTGATAGAATAATACAGTTCTCCCATTCTTGCAAAATAAACTTTTATTTGGAGGTACAGAATAATTTAGGGTTGAGGCTGTCATACACTTTTGATATCTGCAAACATATTTGTATAAATTGACTCATTCCATACAGCCCCATTTCAGTCCTTAGTACAGTGTGGTTTGCCATGCACACACTAGTTACATGAAGACACAGAAATTGACTAGCTGATAAAAAATTTGCACACATGGAGACAGAGAGTAGAAAAATAGATAACAAAGACTGGGAAAGATGAGAGAAGTGTGTTAAAAGATGCAGACATACAGTAAGATAGAATGCATAAATTCAGTGTTTGATAGCAAAGTAGGATGACTATACTTAACAAAATGTATTGTACTTACGTGACGGACACCCTGATTACCCTAACTTGATCAATATATATTATATACACATAACAAAATTTCTCATGTGCTATGTACATTTGCACAAACTAAAAAGAAAAAGGAACCAAACAGCTTATTAATGAGTGAAAAGAATGAAAAGTTAAGGGATTGTCTTAGATATTTAGATTTTTTAAGTAGTTAGCTGGACTTACCATATACCTGTCTGCTGAAGAAACATTCTTTTGTTAGCTCAGCTTGTGGGAGGTTATTGAAAGGAAGTTGTAAGACCCCAATATCATGGTCCTTCCACGTGGCATCAAAAAGGATTAAACCTTTTTGGCTCCTGGTTATGTTTTAAGCTCATAAGAAGGCTTTCTCTCCACCTTGTGCCTCAGCTTTAAGGCCATAGGCGTGTCATTTCTCTCAAAACTTCTCTGAGGCTTATTTCTCTTTTCCTATCGCCATGGCTGCCTCCTCACACCTGTAGCTAGTTTCTGACAAAGAGCTTCACATCCCCGACCTGCTTTGTGACCTGCTTTGTCCAGGTGTGGGAACCAAACACTGAGAAGTCCACTCCTGGTGGCAGTCTTCCTTAAGATAGTGCTAGAAAGTAGAATACGTCCCCAGGTTCCCCTCCAGCCACAGGCCTCCCCCACCTCAAAATGAGAACAGAATCAGTGGAGGATGAGGATATAAATCCACCTCAGATGAAGACATGACTCAGATGGACTTGGACAAAAAAGCAAACAAATTGAGAAATCCAGGTTATTAAAAAATGGACTTGGACAAAAAAGCAAACAAATTGAGAAATGCAGGTTATTAAAAAAACATACAGGATGACCAAACAATGATGACAAAGAGAACTGTACTATTAGGGATAGAAAAGAATAAGAGCATGCATAAAAGAATTTAAGAAAAAAATGGAAGTATTGGTATGATGTGGATAAAGGGAAATTGAACTGGACAAATGGGAAGATGTGAATATAAATGAACTTGGACCATCTTTAACATTTCTTCTCCCCAGCCCTCACCATAGATGAGAAGAAAGCATCTTAGACCTCCCACCCTTTCCCTGGTGTCCTGCCTAACTCACCATCCCCTTGCTACCTGGACTATGCCTTGGCCCCGATCCAGCCTCCATAACCTTTCCTCACATCAATCCCCACTAGAGCCTCTTCTTGGGCATGGACTGACTCATCTACTACTGTTTCATATTTTGTGACCTGGAGTTGCTTGGAGAGTTCTGGGGCAGAGCTGGCAAGAGAGAAGGCAAGTGAGGACCTCCTCAAAGAAAATGTCCCCCTCAACAATGTGGGCTAAAGCCAAATAGAGAGCAGTCTTCCTTAGAGAGATATACTCTACCTCCATATTTTTATTTTTCATTTATTCTAATTCCCCAGGCCAAGGGGCCACCATCTTTGTAACTATCTCACACTCCTCTTTGTGTCTTCAAAACAGTCACTGTTACTGCCTTTATAGTACTCATAAGAAGAAAAAAGTGCAGGGGCAGGAGCTGGCCCTATAAGAAAAAGGAGGACCTGAGCCCAGGCTTCCATGAGTGGGGTGAAAGATATGATGAGGAGTCAGGAGAGAAATGTGGGACTTAAGAGGATACCATTTAAAACAGGGTAGGAAGGCATGAACTGAGGAAAATGATGAACTGAAGGGAGAAGTTTAGGGGATACAGAGGAGGGAATGCAGAAAGGGAGGATTCTAGCTAATTAAGATTTACTGAGACCCTTGAATCCTCAAAGTATTACAGAGGATGAAAAGTTCTGTAAAATACTGCTTCTATCACCCAGGATTATTGTTCTATTCTTGTTCAGGGTAGAAATAAATTGCCCACAAACACTGTCATCTAGGGTAGAATAAAAAGTACCATGAAGGCCATATTCATAAGGCGGATTCAGAACACAGAGGGATGAAGTCCAACATCTAGGAAAGTTGCCCTGGGAGCTGTCATTTGCTCTGGACATGAACACATAGGGCAATAATAGATACAAATAAAATAGAAAGTGGCAGGAAAAGGCTTTCCAGGTGGAGAGCGCAGCACGAGCCAACGTAAAGGAGAGCCGGGGAAAGGCACGCTTGAGAGACTGCCCCATAGTTGCATCCATCCATTCGTTCAGTAAGCATGCACTGGCCACCTACTCTGTGCCACAGCTTGTACTGAGCACAGGAGAAATAAAGTGAATCCACCTCGGTCTCTGCACCGAGTGTTTTCAGCATTGCTAAAATCAGAGTTTGTGGAGGGAGTAAGAGATATAATAGATTCCAAAGAACGATAAATGCCATGAAAGAAACCTAGGCTTTGTTCTATGCTTTGTGTAATTGTGTCCTATTCTTTGAAGTGGAGAATGGCATTACCAGACATGTGTTTTGAGAAAGAAACCAGCAAAAATACAAAGTGAAAGAGATCTTGAAAAACTTTGGTGATAAAATTATAAAACTATAACATTATACAACTATAAAATATAATTTTATAAAATTCAAATACCCAGTAGCTAGTATAGACAAATTAATCCTTATTGAATGCCAGAATATTTCAGCCTAGGTCTCCATCTTCTCAGGCACACAGGCAGATGGAGTGTCCTTTCCCACATCACTTCATCATACTATGTGACCCTTATGCCCATTGGTAAGCACCTGTGGAGACAAGAAGCAATTTCTGGGTTAGAATACCATCAAGTTCATGGTAAGACTAGACTTCAAGATGTCTAAGGCATGGCCAGTGAGCTAGAGAAACTGAGCAAGGACTATAACTACCAGTGAGTCTGCCAGGTCTGGGCCATGAGAAGGAGAGAGTAAGGGGGTTTCAGTGGACCTCAGGGTGATGAATTCATCAACTCCATATTGGGCCCCAAATTGGCCTTCCAAGCACTCCTGGTATACATTGTCTTCTACTCTATAGCTCTGGCCAGAATTGCTGATTTAAAGAGTTGTAGCCTTAAAATAAGATCTACCCTCTGAGCAAATTTTGAAGTATACAATACGGTATTGTTAACTGTAGACACTAGACTATACAGTAGATCTCTAGGATCTATTTATCTTGTATAACTGAAACTTTGTACCCTTTGACTAATACCTGCCCCTGGCCCCTGGCAACCACCATAAGATGGTAGCTCTTATCTAAAGTGCTCTTATCAGAAAAAAAAATGATAATAAACAGAGTGGGAGGAAATCTTTGGAAGGGATGAAGAGGTTTATGGCATAGATAGTGGTGACGGTTTCACCAATGTATACTTATCTCCAAACTGAAGTTGCATACATTAAATAGTACAGCTTTTTGTATGTCAGTCACACCTCAATAAAGTGGTTTGAAAGAGTTAAAGTATAAATATTTGTAGACTTAGATTCTAGCTGTTCCATTTTAATTCTGTGCCTAGGAAAGATGAAAACATCTTCATTTTTCTTTATGATACAGAGGGCGAATGCAGAAATGGAGGAGTCTAACTAATTAAAATTTACTTAGATTCTTAAATGCTTGAAGTATTATGGATGATGAAAAATTGTATAAAATACTGGTTCTATCTCCCAGGATTCTTTTTCTATAGTGTAGAAATAAATGGGCACACTGGAAACTGTAATGTAAGATAAAATGAAAAAGTATCATAAACTTATAATAATCATATACTCTCCTGTAACATCATCACTCAGTATTCGCCTGTCTTCACTTCTCCTAAGACAATGATTCCAGAATTTATTGTTGTTCTTCATCTGCACTATTTAAACATCTTAGCACCAGCTTTTTTCATTTTTCTTCAAAAATCCTCACTTTTGCAGCCTATTTATCCTCTCTTTGAAATATATATGTTATATATATGTTACACTCAGGTAGCCTACTTGATTACAGCCAGAAAATCACAGCTTTAATCTTGGAGGGGCCACAAATCGGTGGAGGGAGAAGGCAAGTTATGTAAACACATTGTTTTGTAGTTTCTCTAGCAATTAGTAAGGAAGAGCAAAACTCCTCCTGCCTCACAAGGGGGCTGTGAAGATTATGTATAACATATTTTAAAGTATTTCCAAAAGTAGAATATGCTTAGCAAATTCAGTGCAGTTCATGAAATAATAATAAAGCACTAATCCATTAATGGTGCAGGAAATAAATTTCAGGGACTTCCTTCCAGGAGTGACCACCCCAAGTTTCTGTCCCCCAGCTGGATTCTGCCAAGGATAATAAAGAAGCTCTTCATGCTTTTATACCTTCAAAAACATTTGATTATAACCTACTATGTGCCAACTATTGTTCTAGATGCTGGAGATACTACAGCTCTTAAAGTTATTTGGAAGAGGTTAGATCATGTTAGGTTATGAATTGTAATCATGATTGTTATTACAAATTGAGTTATTTTTATATGTTTAAAAGTAAAAAGGCATTAACTTTGAGCTTGATCAAATGTATTCTTTTTATTTGAAAACTATTGCAAAGCAAATCTCCATTTTGCTCATACCAATTTTAGGAGGAATTGTTTTTAATTTATCTTTAAATGATAATACATAGCACTTGTAGAGTGTTCAACTTGCTTTTCTCCATGCACTATACCTGGGTTGAAAGGAAAATGATGAAGGAAGGAAGGAGAGAAGAGAAAGTGAATATTTATGGAGTGCCAAAATTGTTTCATGTGCTTTTATACCCAGAACCTTACATAGGCCCCTCACATCTTCTCTTGCAACGTGCTGGATCCCACAATGATTTTCTCTGCCATGAAGGTTTATAGCTGATCAATGACAGTGTGGTTCTTTCTTGTACAGTAACTTAAAAAAAAAAAAACACCTTGACATGATTTTCCCATTGAATCCAGAGGAGAAAGGATTTTGTCATGTAAGGCTGATAGCAGATATGCATTCCCCAGTGGGCTTGAGGACTGTAGTTTCCCAGAGAGGCCAGGTCACAAATAAAGCACAAGAACTGACATTTTACCTCTTTCACTGCTGAGATGTTTTCATAGGCTCCAGTCCTGTTCCCTCTAACTTCTTTCGCTTCTGGGTTCAGCAGGGATTCCATTTCATTCTACCAGAGCTTCATTCTGTTGTTGTTAATTCTAGAATAGAATTGATTCCAAATTTTGACTACTATAAACCATACCCAAGAGGATTTCCCTTCTGAAGTACCCAAAGGACTAAATTAGAGGCTATTTCATCTCTAGCGGTAGGGATGGGATCTAGTGGTGTCACTATGGGAAGTCCCTTAAAAAATTAATTTTCACTTATAAAACAGTGTGTAGATCATTGTTTTGATATTCAGTGACCCAGTGACCCCTAACTTTAGAAAAAATCTGGGAAATGGACTTTAGGCATTCTTTCGTCCTTTGTCCTAGGAGTGATGCCTGCCACTACATTCTTTCCACTGACCACAGTCTACTTCAAATCATGAAAAGTTCTTCATTCTTTCATGCCTTCAAAAATTATTTAATCAGCACTTACTATATGCAAGACACTGTTCTAGGAACTGGGCATGTCATAAATAAATTAGTAATGTCCCTGCTTTCATGGAACATGCCTTCTAGTTTAGGAAGACATAAAAGAAATAAGAAACAAATAAGAAAGATGATTTTACATACTTATGTGAGTAAATACACACACACACACGCAGGAGAAGCAATAGAAAGTAACTAAAGAGGACTAATATTAGTAAGGTCTATCTGTAGAGGTAATATTTGAAAAAGAACCAACAGAGCAAAGAACCTGGGAAAGAAATTTCCAGGCAAAAAGAACTACATACAAATGCCAAGGCCTTGAGACAAGAATAAGCTTGCTCAAGGCACAAATAAAAAAAATGAATAACATAGAAATTGTATCTGAGAGGTAGGTAGAAAACAGATCAAAAAGGCTTTGTAGACCTTGATAAGGTGTGTGAATTTTATTCCAAATGTGATAGTGAACAACTAGAGTTTTTAAACAAATACATCTAGTAATATAATTTACAGTTAAAAAAGTTGCTGTGGCTGCTGGTGGAAAATAATCTGCTGGGAGACAAGAGTGGGTGCAAATAGGAAAGTTAGTGGTGGTTCAGGCAAGATGTGGTGGCAGCTTGGCCTTCAGTGGTGACAGTAGTGGTGAAATGTAACAGGCTAAGTTGGGATATATTTGGGGGGCAGGGAGTTCCTGCATAAAGAGAAGGGGCTGGACCACAGGAAATTGTGTTCTTTCTCACTACTACTTCCTCACAACTCTCCAGATAAGAACTCACGGCTCATGGCTCATTTTGTGTTTTCAATAGTGTTTGTGCTTTTGTTTGGAAATGATGGCAACACAGAGCCAATAGTAGTCATTGTTATGCTAAAATAGTGTACGTGAAGCATTTAGCACAGGCCTGGCTCATAGTAAGTGTATAACCAATGACAGCTATTATTATTCAAAAACTGATCATCACTAGCTTCAGTGCATGCTCAATACAGCTTGCTGAGTTTAATATTGTAAAGGTATTGGTACTTTTTTCCAGAACATTCTATTGAAAAATTTTTTTATTCTATGACTTTAATATGATTAAAAAGGTAGACAAGATAGTGTGTCCAGCTGATACAGCACTAGAGGACTGGTTACAGACCAGGAAATAATTCACTGTGTTACCCTTCACTGAGCACTCACCATGTGTCAGACACTTTGCTCTGTGCCAGCGATAGATGAGTGTGACACACAGCTTGCCCTCGAGAGTTTCTCAATCTAAGAGGAAAAATAAAAATGCAATTAAATCTATACAATACAAAACATAATTAAATCTATACAAATGACATGTACCAGAATGCAATCCAGAAAAAAGTGTGATGGACTATGTCTTATGGTAGGGGGTAAGAGGAGAAAGGGTAAAGAATGGTTATACAAAGAAAGTGAAACTTGAGAAGGATTTTGAAATATAACCAAGGGGATAAGGATGGACAGGGCAGTTTGGCCAGGGGGACAACATATGTCATCAATTTATTTGAGAGCCACTTAAGCCGATGTTCTCATTGGCTAATAATAATGTCAGTACTTTATTGCCAAAATAGAATTTGATGTCCATTTGGCAATACAGATTGGAACACCAATGCAAATAGTTAAGCATTTACTGAAATATTTTCAATAGAATATTCATTGTATTAAATATTAGGAGACACTATAGGAAATAAATTCTCTGATCAAAAACACTTGGTAAATACTAGACTTAATAAAATTAAATAGCCCTCTGAAATACAGTATCAGAGTCCGTAATATGCTAATAGACTGCATGAATCACTAAGGGGAAGAGAGAATATATAGTGTTTTCAAATATATTGGATCATAGAGTTCTTTTTTCTACTGATCTTCCAGGGATAATGTTCTGAAGAACAGACTTAAAAGACAATACAGCCAAGCAAGCTGCATGTTTAATTTTACTTCAAACCACTTTGAGCCTCAATATGATTATCTGGAAAATAGATCTGGCAGTACCTTTTTTTGGCTTTTCTCAGATGGCTTGTCATAGCCATCATTTGTTCCATGAATTAATAGAAATGTCAAAGAAATGCCAGGAAGGTGGCACCTCCTCCTAGATGGGCAGCTGTGTATTCGTTTGCTAGTACTGCCAAAGCAAAGCACCACAAACTGAGTGGCTTAAACAACAGAATTTATTTTTTTATTCCAGAGGTTGGAAATCCCAGATCAAGGTGTCAACTGGGCTGGTTTCTTCTGGGGATTCTCTCCTTAGCTTGTAGATGGCTATCTTCTCCTTGTCTCTTCACATGGCCTCCCCTCTATACATGGCTGTGTCCTAATCTCCTCTTCATATAAAGACATCAGTCATATTGAAATATGAACTACTCGATGACTTCATTTTAATTCAATTACCTCTATAAGAATCTTATCTCGGCCGGGCGCGGTGGCTCACGCCTGTAATCCCAGCACTTTGGGAGGCCGAGGCGGGTGGATCATGAGGTCAGGAGATCGAGACCATCCTGGATAACAAGGTGAAACCCTGTCTCTACTAAAAAAAATACAAAAAAAATTAGCCGGGCGCGGTGGCGGACGCCTGTAGTCCCAGCTACTAGGGAGGCTGAGGCAGGAGAATGGCGTGAACCCGGAAAGCGGAGCTTGCAGTGAGCCGAGATTGCGCCACTGCAGTCCGCAGTCTGGCCTGGGCGACAGAGCGAGACTCTGTCTCAAAAAAAAAAAAAAAAAAAAAAAAAGAATCTTATCTCCAAATACAGTCACATTCTGAGGTACTGGGGGTTAGGACTTCAATATATGGATGAGGTGGGAGGGTGAACACAATGCAGCCCATAATACTCTGGTTCTCAGGTTGACAGAACACTCCAAAGTCAAGATCTCCAATTACTCAAAGCTGATCAATGATAAGCCAACATGTAAGAGAAGGGCTGTAAAGTAAAAACAAAGCTATATCCATTTTATTAAACCAATATTGAGCTCCATTTTGTATACACTCTACGCTAGAAGCACAGATAGGTAAGTAGGACAGATACAGTTCTTGACCTCACAAAGTTAGTCTAGTGTGATTCTAGTCAATTACCCCTGGAAAATGTTCATGGAAAAACTGAATAGTGATGTGAAATCAGAGCCAAGGTGGTAGTTGGCAAATGCTGAAGGACTGTTACATCATCTCCACTAGAATCACCATTTAGGTGGACCATGGCTCCAGGATCCTCTCTATTGAGGATAGAGAGGAGTTAATCTATTTCTTTAGCAAGCCTACCTTTCAGACTTAAATGTATTTTCTAATAACCTTGTTTTGTAGACTGAATGTTTGTTTGCCCTCACAATTCATATGTTGAAGCCTAAATCCCCAATGCAATGGTATTTGGAGGTGGGGCCTTTGGGGAGTAGTTAAGTCATGAGGGTGGAGCTCTTATGAATGGGATTAATGCCCTTTAAGGGGATGAGGAGACCAAAGCTCTCTCTCTTCCTCTGCCATATAAGGATACAATAAGAAGGTGGCAGAATGGAAAAGGCCCCTTACCTAGTCATGGCTTAACCATGCTGGGACTCTGAACTTGGACTTCCAGCCTTCAGAGCAGTGAGAAATAAATTTTTGTTCTTTATAAGCTGCCTGTTGTTTATAGCCATTTTATGGTATTTTGTTACAGCAGCCGAAACTAAGGCACTTTGACAGGGCTTGGGTATTTCCCAAATCTCTCGTGTTAATATACATCTTCTAGGGCAGAAAACTTCTATAGATACATATTCAACACTTTTTTGTGAATTTTTTTGTTACTTCAAATCTTTAAAAATGGCCATTTTATATATTTGTTTCCAAATTATAAATCTGTTTTATTGTAGCCCCCTATGTACTATCTTATTTATTTGCCAAAAAGATAATTTATCTTTGAGCCCTAACTTTAGAAAAAATTTGGGAAATGGACTTTAGGCATTCTTTTGTCCTTTGTCCTAGGAGAGATGCCTACCACTACATTCTTTCCACTGACCAGAGTCTACTGCAAATCATGAAAAGTTCTTCATTCTTTCATGCCTTCAAAAATTATTTAATCAGCACTTACTATATGCCAGACACTGTTCTAGGAACTGGGGATGTCTTTTTGCCTGGAAATTTATTTCCCAGTTTCTTTGCTCTGCTGGTTCTTTTTCAAATATTACCTCTACCGATAGACCTTCCTACGGTATTAAGAACTAAGTGATTCTATAGAGAAGACATGGAATTAACCTAGGTGCTTATCTGTGGTATATTAGATAAAGAAATTGTGGTACATATACACCATGGAATACTATGCAGCCATAGAAAAGAATAAAATCATGTTCTTTGCAACAATATAGATGCAGCTGCAGGATATTATCCTAAGCGAGCTAACCCAAAAACAGAAAACCAAATACCACATGTTCTTACTTATAAATGGGAGCTAAACATGGACACAAATACGGGAACAATAGGCACTGGGGACCCCAAAAATTGGGAGGGAGGGAAGGAGACAAGGACTGAGAAACTACCTATTGAGTAGTATTCTCTATTGAGTACTAGTAATGGCTGACGGGATCAATCATAGTCCAAACCTCAGCATCAGGCAATATACCAATGTAACAAATCTGCACCTGTGTCCCCCTGAGTCTAAAATAAAAGTCGAAATTTTTTAAAAGAGAAAACATTTTATGCTGATGGAACTGTGTTATATCCTGATTATGATTACCTCATCTTATGCAGTTACCACAATTCATCAAACTGTACATTTAAAATCAGTATGTTTTATTTTGTATGAATAATATCTTAATCAAAAAAGAAAAAGAAAAAAAAGGAACTAAGTGATAAAGGCCAAATTTGGTTAGTGCTATTGAACTAACCAATCTAGAATCAATCAGACTTTTGTTTTTCTTTTTTTCTTGTTGGAATCAACTGAGCATTCAGAGTTCACCTTGGCAGTAGAACAAAAAAATGAAACCAAAGTGATTATTTTAGCAATAGCAAATATACTTAGGTCGTGTCTTATCCTTTACACTCTCAAAGCCCACTTCTGTTTGGAACGCTTCATATACTTTGTACCTCCGCTGCATGTGTCTACTGTTAACCTGGTAAATTAGGATGGCCAACCACCATGGTTTGCAGGGGACTGAGGAGTTCCATGGGATGTGGGACTTGCTAAAACCAAGAAAGTCCTGGGAAGACTAGGAGTTGGTCATCCTACAAAGGCACAAATAAACACAGAGAATGCAAATTCTGAGGATTTGGGCTCCCAGCCCCCAGCACCCTGATTTCTTCTCTTCTTTCCAGCCTTCCTGACACATGAATGTAGTTTTCTCTGTAAAGCTTTTCCTACCTCCCCTCCACCAATCACAAGGTTAACTGTCCCTTTAAGACTCTGCAGCACTTCTTCATGCCTCCCATGACATTGTAATTATCTATTTCCTTGGTTCTCCTTCACTGGACAAGATCCTCAGTGGACCTGCCCACACCTTCTTTGTATTGGTAGCCTCAGTACAGCCCAGTTATCACACTTATTAATAACCATTTGCCTGAATACATAGATGAATAAGAAGAGAATTTTCCCAAAGTACTGTGTTTATTAAAATCATAAAAACTGAATATTGAAAAGAATACTTTAATAATATGGTCCAGCTACCCATCGTGATTTGGGGGTCAACAAACCAGGAGTCCCAAGACTTTCCCTTATTATTTGTACTTCCTGAGCACATAGCTGAGCCACCTTGAATTCATTTGTTCATATGTGAAACACAGAACACAATAATTTCTTCTCAAGCTGTTGGGTAGATTAAATGAGATGATATTTATCAGAAGAGGGTTGTAAACTTGGGGGCACTAGACAAGTATCAGGTATCATTATTACTATTACTAATGATATTAGCAATATTATTATTCAGTGGAGAAAATAAAAACACTATTGTAAAGCCTTTGCGGATTCCCCTCCAAGTGACTGTCCATCTTCTGCTAGAATTTAATCTCTCTGAATGAGAAATACTTTCCATTCTCTCAATTGTTCCCCATGTAAAATAATTTTATATTTTATTACCAGCCCTGTTGCTCTTGCCTAAATAGTAGTTAATTTCGAGTAGTCTCAGGCTGAGAATTGAGCACAATAGTCCAGATGTGGTCTGAGCAGTATTATCTTCTCCTAGATTCTATACTCCATACATCTGCTAATTGAACCCAGACACTCTTTAGCTCTTAGCAGCAGTTGCATCACACTACTTTGAGTCTTAATCAAAGAAAATAGCCTCATTCTTTCTATCTTCTTTCTTTTCCTTATTTTTCTTTCGGTTACTTTGATGTGCTTGCATACCCAAGGAAGGTCCCCTTGAGCTACTTTTTCCCATCTTGAGCAATTATTGAACTAATAAGTGGGAAAATGTGCAAAACAGTCTCTCAAAAACCAAAAACAAAACCCAGCAGTTATTTGCCTTCTCCCATGCCAACAATAGAGACTGAATAAACACATGTTCTTTCATTTTTCACTTATGATAGGCAACACTAAGATTCACTTCCTCATAGGCCGGTTTTGAATGTTCAAGTTTATCGGGCTTTAGGTTCAGAACACTCACTAATGCTTTGATGCACTAAGACACAGTTCTCACTGGAAGGGTTTTTATTAAGTGGACAGCTATGGTGTCACAGGCAAGACATTTGCACAGTGCATTAATTTAGAGAGAAAAAGGTTTCTGTGTAACTTAACCAGACTGAACAGCTATTTCCACTTTACCTGAATAAAGTATTTTCATGTTTTATCACAATAGTTTGCAACTGCAAAAGCTTCGCCCAGTTTTTAAGAGTAGCTATGAACTGTCAGGATACATTATTTGAAATGAAGCCTGACAGCTCCAGGCTTGAAAGTAAAATACATTTTATTGTTTAAAAGCATTTCTCTGCCACCTCACTTTCATCCCCCCTCCCAAACTCCGCTCATCCCACCATCCCTTATAAGCACCCCTCTCCTGGCCTGAAATGAGATTCACTGCAATCATTCTAAAATTGTTTAATCCTCATTAAATAACACTGCATGAAGGAAAATCTTAAAGGTGGGGTTTCCTTTTCTTAGTCTGAAAATGAATCATGAGAACTAATACAGAGTATTTTGTGTATGTGAGAGGAACAGATAGCACACAAGAAGTTGTACACACTGTTGTGTTGGAAGAAACAAAATCCTGTTCAGTTAGTATCCGGAGAAGGATGATTAAATGCCAAATGGCTTGCACTCTGCGCTACATATATTACCACCTTGGTGACTGGAAGTTTCTTAAACCTCTAGTCTGATGGTCCATCCGAAGAGAGACAACACAGTGAATCTTTCTCTTGACAACACTTTCTCAAGGGACCCTTGAGTCTTTAAAGCAATCTTTGTCTGTTTCCAGATTCTGTTTTTTCTGGCCTTGGACAGAATGTTGTTTGCCAGAGAAGACTTTTTCTAGAATCTCTGAAATTACCATGGATTTATACACACCCATCAGTTATGCCTTATATATTCTGAAGACTGATATTCTAGGGAACATAGTAGAGGTGGAGTGATGTTGTCCAGTGAGCATTCTTCTCCAGAAATTCACTGCTACCTTTTTCTTACCACAGCATCATAATGATTGAAGACAGGCAGGATTCCATTCAAAGCATACAGTACAGAAAAGAAAGGGCTGGGAAAAAAATTAACTTACAAATGAAAATCTTTTGTTGTTAATGATATTCAATAATAGAAGCCTAATCTCCTACGTATATTATCATCTGGCAAACTAGTTACACATTTAATAAGGTTTTGCTGTATAAATTATAAATGAAATAAACAATTCTGTCACCATGGTGTGCAATGAATACACCACATGTTATATGTAAATATATTAGTCATTTGCCTTTTGTTTATGTGTCACTGAAATCCATTTTCTTTATGGTGTATTTTCTATTCCCTATGGGTTCCAACCAAAGTCGTTTCAACCATACACATATCGGTCTTTAAAGTGGAATTATGCTGTTATTGTCCTTTTTCTGCCCAGTTTTAATAACACCTGCTTTTGTGCCAGTTTCATTTACTGCTGCAAATTGTAATTCAACAGAGAACAACAACAAAAACAACAAAAAAACCCAACCACCCTAACAGCAAATGTGACTCCAGAAAGGAGCTGTGTGATATATTGACACAATACAGAAAACATATTGAAACAATTTTTATTCTCATTATTTTTCCCCCAAAATTAAATATGCCCAATAAAGCAAGTTAACATATTCTGCGTGTCTCTCTCCACTCCCAACTAAACCCAAATCCTTGGCTTTTAATGAGATAATTTTTTAAAAAACAGAATCAATGTTTCAGCCTTTCAAGTGGTGGCATTTTTATTTTAAGCAGAGAGGCATAAATGCATGAAGGATGCAAATCTGGGCTCTTTCAATGGCTCACCACAGTGTGACAGCTGTGGACGGGATCAAGACAAAAGCGGTGACTGCTCCAAGAAAATGATGGCTTAGGCATCTCCAGCCCAATCAATAATCTGGCATGTTGAGGTCAATCACTGCATGACCATATTCAGTTCGAGCCAGCCAAAGATTATTAGTTTGACACCCAGAGGCTATTTCTTTCTGCTGTGGATGGCGGAAAGAGAGCTTGTGTGCATCTCTTCAGAACCAAATGGAGAAAGCCTAACTATTTATAACAATAGAAGCACTGAAACAGAATTTTCAGAGAGGCTTCATATTTGTTAGGAGGAATCCCCTACAATATCCTCCAGGCTGAGTAATTCTTCTGAAATTGTCACTAAGCTAATTTTGTGTTTCATCCATTCAAAAAATTAGAATGTTTTTAAGCCTCTATCATTTCCCAGGCTGTGTCCTAGCACCTGGCAGATACAAACACAAATAAGATACACTTGTTATCCTCAGAGAGGAATAAATGTAGAAGCTTCTACAAAGATGTTGATGCTCTAAATTTCCTCTAATATTCGGCATTCCTATTTTTCTTCTTCCCCCTCTTCTCCACCCTGGCCAAATTTCCCACATGCAAGCAGGACAGATTTTACTGGGATAAAGATAAGAGGGGAAGCAAGATAATCATTATTTCAGATTATTTGGGCTAATAGTATTCAGATCTAGCCTAAGAGATAGCTAAAGTGGGTTCCAGAAAACATCTGAAAGCTTTATACATTACTAAAAGGGCAATAGAACTAGCCACAGGAAGCTATTTCTAAGTGACATTCCAGTCCTTTTCTGCAGTCCACTGCCTGTCTAAGGCATTCGGTTGCTGACCATGGTGTTCACATATGCTCACTAACGGGAAACAGTTTGTGGCTAGGAGAGATCCACAGGAGTGTATGGAATAGGGCTCTTGCTGTCTGATATTTCACCAGTCATGTTTTACTGTTTCTCCTGGATGGCATGCCATAGAGTGTAATAAATCTCAGTTTGTTTATATTCTGTGTCTGTATTTGCACTTTGGTGATTATATTTGAATTCATGCAAGATCCTTTTTTTTTAAGAACTTGAGCATAATCTTCTCATTAATCCTGTCCTGTTTGTCTGTTATTAACAGGCCACTGTACAATGTATTCTGCTGCAAAACTCCACCAGGCATGACTAATTCAGATAATTAATTTGCTAGAACATTAACACCATCAAATGAGCCTGCTAAACCGGTAAATTTAAAGTAAATTAAACTTAATTTGCAGGTTATTGCAATTAAGTCTGCCTTGTCTTTCTGAGGGATTTCAACATCCTCAGTATTTAAGAGGCAATCATAATGCATGCAAGTGGGCGGGCTTTTTGGCTAATTAACACAAGAGTCTAATCTGCTTTTCAATTAGGGTGGATGTTTATAATGTGCTGGTGACAGTGTTGCGATTCAGTGCAGCATAACAGGAGTGCGTGGCATAATTATAGCTGAAAAGAAAAGCTCATGCCGGGCCTTTTTAGGGGTTAATGAGACATTGGCAGCTTCCAGCTGAGGAGATCGAGCCAGTTTAGTGTAGCTTCAAGAGGAAACCACCCATAGGGGTTTCCTTTGAAGTGTCAAAAGGTCCCCTTGTTCTGGGTGGCTTATGTTTCATTTGTCTGAGTGGCATATCAAAAATTGATGAGCTGCCAGCAGCAGTCCCTATGACATTAATTCACCAATTGTGTTTCTAATAGTTTCATCCTTAAATAAATTTGGATGATGAGAATGGTAAGGAGAGTCAAGGTTCTGAAAACAATGAGCAGAGCCAGGCTGTTGCATGGTTTTTATACAACACAGACAAATGTAGCAGCAGTAAATGTTAAAGGCATGGCTGGCCTACTACACCCTGGGTTATTAGCTAAGGGAAGACAAAGATGTATTGTGCCTGTGCCCTCTGCCAAACAACAGTCACTCAAAACAGTGATAAAAATGTGGCATTCACTGGCACTTAGCTTAAACTCTTAACTATACAGGGGAGGGATCTTAAGCTGGGGCTTCAGAAGAGGAAGTTTCTATGAATCTGAGACATAAACCTCCTTGGAAACACTCTTACTAAAGCCGCCTATACATCAGAGCTGAGGCTAAGGGGAAATAGCCAAATAGTAACACAATAAGATTGCACTTACATTTAGAGTATGGAAATTCACATTATCTCCTCATGTCTACAGTAAACACTAAACCAAGGTGCTTTGAGGCTCAGCTTGAAACTGAGTTGTTGAGGTATACTTGCATAGAAACCATCTTCCAGTGCTTATTATGGTCTAGTTCACCTGAGGCTATGTGATGTCATTGTGCTGTCTGTTTTTTGTTGTTGTTGTTTGTTTTTGTTTTGTTTTTTGACAGAGTTTTGCTCTGTCACCCAGGCTGGAGGGCAATGGCGCCATCTTGGCTCGCTGCAATCTCTGCCTCTCGGGTTCAAGCAATTCTCCTGCCTCAGCCTCTTGAGTAGCTGGGATTACAGGCATGCGCCACCACCCTCAGCTAATTTTTGTATTTTTAGTAGAGACAGGGTTTCACCATGTTGGTCAGGCTGGTCTCAAACTCCTGACCCTGTGATCCACCCTCCTCGGCCTCCCAAAGTGCTGGGATTACAGGTGTGAGCCACTGGGCCCAGCCAATTTCTGGTTTTATATGTTCTTTGGTTATATAATGAGGAAAAGAGAATTTACAAATAGACAGTTGTTTCCAGGATGAATATCATACATGTCATGCCTAAAATTTATCTGAGAACATACATCTGGTACATACATTGGAATGACTAGCATCATATTTTCAAAATATTTAGGTGAGCAAGTGGAAAGTAAAGACATCAAAACCTTGTGCAAAATAAAAGTTCTTACCACCACAGTGCTACATGTTTTCTTTTAAGAATGCCAAATTATGCATGATGATTATAAAGAGCGTTGCAAAGATGGCCCTTCTTTTGGCCTTCATGTAACATGCATGAAGTAAATTACAGCTGGGTAAAACCCCCAGCCTTTCACAGAGACATGAATGGAGCAGTCAAATAAATTATTCCAGGTACTTGCAGAAAGATTAATCTACCCAAATTAATTGTAAAATCTCCTAAGCTAGTATTGTCACATAGACATAGCCAAAGAAAGTCATGATGTATTGCAATGGATGTTGGGGAATAAATCCATTCATTCATTTGTTTCTTTATCTTTGAACACATATTATGTGACATACATTGTGCATTGAGGCTAAGGCAATGACCAAAACAATGTCCCTATATTCATGGAGCTTACAAATAAATGGGAGACCATCAGTTATTGATAAATGCAATGATGATAATAAAGTAGGGTAATGTGACAGAGTGACTGAAAGGCTACTTTAATCTGGGTGTTAGGGAATGACCATCTTTGCAAGGAGGTCACATTGAAGATGAGACCAAAATGATACTGAAAAGTTTTCAATAACAGATGACCTAATTTGTAGTTTCAAAAAGATCACTTTGGCTCCTGCCTGGAAAACAGAAGTGGAAAGGCGTAGTACTATAAGAATTAAAGCAATGAGACCATTTAGAAGTCTACTTGTGTGTTCTAGAAGCTACCACCCAGGCTAAGCCCCTGGGTTCAAAATATGATTTAGAGATAAGTTTGATGTTTTGTTATACAGGACATTGAAATTGTGAGTAAATTATTAGGCATTCACATGGCAATGTCAAGTTGGAAGTTGGACATATGAGTCTGGACATTAAAGGAGACTCCAGAGCTAAATATATAAAATAGGAAAGCAGCCGTTGATATTCAGACATGAGCTGGCAGATTACCCATGGTAGGCAGTGTACTTAGAGCAAAAACAGAGTTCCAGGATTCTTACACAGAGCCACAGAGAGGGAGAAGCTAGCAAAGGAAACAGAAGCTGAGTGGCCAGTGAGGTAAGGGGAACAAAACATGAATATGAAGGAGGGCGACACTGGAAACAAAAGAAAATGTTTTGAGAAAAAAGGGAGCAGCCAGCAGCGTTGAATGCTAATGAGAGGTTGAATAAAATGAAAAGAGACAAATGTCCATTGGATTTAGCATCATGGAGGTCAGTCGTGACCTTGACAAGAGCCATTTCAATGATGTGTGGGGCCAGAAGAAAGCCTGGGTGGGACGAGAATGGGAGATGAGCAAGTGAAGAAAGTGTTTACCGACAATTACTAGGAATATGAGATCCACGAAGAGATTTTTAAATATAGAAGAGAGCTGTGTGCATGTTGATAGCAACAATCCAGGAAAGAGAAAAACTTAAATCACAGGAGAGAAGTAAAAAGGACATGGACTCCACAGCACACGGGGAAGACTTGGCCTTTGGTGGGAGCCAGGCTGAAGTCCTGGAAAACTGAAGGAGAATTTGAATGTGGGGATTCAGGCAGGGGGCTGGGGGATAGGGACCTGTGTGAAATAGTCATTTGAAGGCCAAAAGCCACCAATAATAGATTAGGTTCAATTTGTTGTTTGATTGCAAATGTGTTTATTGTGAGGTAATGCACACTCATTAAAGAAAAAGGAAGAGGAAAATACAGAAAAGTGTAAGAAAACAATTACATTTAACCTCCAAAATAATAGAGTGGTCTAACAATGAGGGGAACAAGTGAGTTTATTTCTCTATAGAAATCCCAGAATGAGACTGAAAAGAAGTCTCTGTCCAGTAGAGACCTATATCTAGGATGCATTCAGAAAAAGTTCCTTTGTGTTGGGTCTTTGGTCCAAGTTACTGTAGACGTGTGCTTTGCGCTAATCTCCATCATCAGCAGCATTTTTTTAAGTGGGTTCTGCCTTAGTGGTCTATTATAAAATTTGTCATACTCACTCTTACTTTCCTTAAATTCCAAATCCTCTTACAATTGTACTAAATATTGTGTAAATTATATAGTGGCTTTAATCAGTTTTCAAGAAAGAAATTGTTACATATATAATGGGATGTTTTAGGGAATTTATTTTTTTCTGCTAAATTTCTGGCATGGTTACAATAGGGGGAACATAGCCAGGAATAAGAAGTGGCAAGGCTGGAGCCTAGGGCACAATATTAAGAAGACATTCACTCTCAGACTATGCAACTGAGAATGAGTGCTCCCTAAAACGTTGTGCCCCAGGGCATCAATATTGCTTTACCCTAGTACTGACCCTTGCTAACAGCCTTTCTCTTCCATAAGTTATCTCTTGGAGCTACTCTTAAGATATGATGGATTGGGTATAGCAGGAGTGAGTCCTGGCATGTTCCTTTTTGGTATCATTTTAAAGATTTAGTAACCATGGATATGTAGATTTATGGGAAAAGTAAACAACACAAAACATGCACAACCAGAATCAGCTCTTCTGTACCTTCCTAAATTAAAGATGTGTTTTGTTTTTATATAAAAGTAAGTGACAGAGAGTAAATAGCAATCATTATTATACTGAAATTGAAGGATGCAAGGCAAGTAGCACAGGCCTGGCTCATAGCAGATGCTCAACAAGCGAGAGCTATTATTTTCAAAAGTGGTTATCACTAGCTGATGTGTGCTCAGTAATGTGTTTTTCTGATTTTAATATTTTTTAAAAAACACATCTTGATTTTTTAAATATATAACTGCTTTTAAGTAGATATTTACATGCAGCTACTCTTACTTTTGTCCTTTGCGCTGGTCTTATACTAATAATTGCATCTATAAAGCATCTTAAAATTTACAAACTACTTTCACTCATAATAGCTTGTTGGCTCTTTGCAACCACATAAGTTACCCAGTATTACCCAGTTGATAGAGTAGTAATAAGCTGAGATTTGCCTAGGACACAGCTTTGGAAAACAGACCCAAGGATGTCACTTAGGACTTCTGACTTCAGATCCCAGATCTTTCTACTCTGTGCCATTAACAATTAGATAATAAGTCTTTTCAGCTCCTAAGCTTGGATGAGAAAGAAGCCAGCAAGATTTCGGGTTGCTGTTTTTATAAATCAAACAGGGCCCTCACCCACAACAATGGGGAGGAGAGAGAACGAAATTAATCAAAGGGTAAAATCAAGAACCTGAATTGCTTTCTAGCTCAACCAACTGCCTATAGAGTTCTCCTCAGATATCTATGAGTCAGGGTGGCCTAGAATTGAGATTATACTGTAGAAACTAAGAGCCCCAAAGTCACAGTGGCTTAAAACAACTGTATTTAATTCTCACTCATGTGACAGGACCTATGAACAATGGAATCATTCAGGGTTCAGTTCTATCTCAACACAGGTATCCACAACCACAGAAGCAGGAAAAAGAGGGCCTGGTGAGCCACAGCCCTGATGCGTGTCCAAGTTTTCATCTACCCTATCAATTCCCCCAACACACCTCCAGGCACCAAAGTGCCAATTTGTGGCTCTGTTTTAATTCTCTCTCCCTCATTCTCTCTAACACCTTACTACCCAAATCCTGTAGACTTTTTCTTTCTCCTATCTCTGACTTTCTCATTTGAGGAAAAATGCCTTAAGGTCAATGAATATTGTATATGAGGGTTTCTACCACAAATGTCATTTGAGAAAACACCTCTTGATTTCATGCAAGACATGTTTTGCTTCAGAAAGACACCAGAAGGGGCACAAACCTGTAGTCAGAAGCCCTAGGTTTCTGTTCCATATTTTGCAGTTCACTTAATTTCTATAAGCATAAATTTCTATATCTGTAAAACGGGGATAATAGAATCCTTATCCCACTGGATTGTAATGAGGATTAACTGTTGTCATAGGTGTTGAAGTTCCTCGTAAGTTATAAAATCTTGTACACTTGGTAGGAATTATCATTATTAATATTAATGTGAGCTAGGCAGTAATAACCTTGAAGCAATTAGCAGCTGTTAATATACTAAACTGGATTTACTTGTCCTAATGAACTATAGAATGGTTTTACTTAAAGGGCAAAGGCAATCATTAATTTACTCAAGTATCTATTATGCACAAAT